>NC_000002.12:24630967-24782482 GCF_000001405.40 Homo sapiens
TTTCAAATTTTTTAAAAATCTTTTTCATCTTCAGTTTGGAAAGCATGACTTGTGTCATCATTGATAAGAAAGTTGGTAATATTCTTTCTTCATTCTTTTATTAAAATCTTGCATTTTTTCACCCAAAATTTGATCTCTTAAAACCACCTTTTTCAGGCACCTTCTTTTTAAATTTTATTTGGGGTAAAATTAACAAGTATACATAAGCTACTGTGGAATTATAACTCCATGCTACCAAAATAATTTATAATTGCCATTAGTGTTAATGGTTTATTTATAATGACTCACTACTGGATGGCAGTACACCTAACCTAAACTATGAGTCCCAGAACACTGGGAATTTTGACTAGCTTTATTCTTTTCTCTCCCCATCAAAAAGTATATCCTAAAGAAGATAAGTTAAAGCCACGTTATAATAATCTTGAATCTTCTCCAATTTTAAATAAATAATATGTAAATCATTGGTATTTTAATTGTTTTTGATAACAAATTTTCATCACACCTCACAGTCAGTATACCGGGGTGAGAGAATTTACTGTCCTTTAGGCATGTAAATACTGTACTCTAGTTGGTAAGTTTGTTTTTTTACTTCCTTACAAGAGAGAACATTAAGCGATACTTAGATAAAATGGACTTAAGAACAGTGATAAAAAAGAGAGGGAACATTAAGCCACAATTTCTTTTGACAGTCATATCATAAGGCAATATTTGGTAATGGAAGATGGATTTTTTTTCCTGCTTTATAAAAGTCACAATCAATGGTGTCAGCTTGTGTGTACAGAGGGACGTTCTCTTGGTTGAAAGCTGGTTCTTTTTCACAAACCTTTCCAATGAACTGTTGCATAGGCCTTGCTGCCTATTGTTAACTCTATTTCTGTCATACAATTCTTTATGTTATTGAGTAATTTCTGTTGCTTACTGCTTCTCAATGTCAGGATAGTGGATTCTTAAATTCACGAAAAAATTAAGGTGATAATATATACATGAAGTAAAAATTTTTGAATAATTACAAAATAACAGGAAGATTGAAATAAATAAAATGTTAGAAATAATATATAGTATTTGGTTCCATGTAAAAGTGGTAGATTGAGCACTTAGTATTGTTCACTCTCAAAACAGCAGTTTAGTTAAACAACAACAAAAATAGGATAAATAAGGATTTTTTAAAAGTCATAAATCCAGGGAGACTAGGAGAATGGGAGGGAATATGACAAAATTTTTGAAGGGGTAGAACAGCTAGAATAGTAGTAGCAATCTCACTAAACTTGAGAAAGCCAGTTTTAAGGGAAGAAAGCTGATGACCAGTTGGACTGATACTGGTGAATCTTCAAAAGGCTCGGATAGTAGTAGTATGTAACTCTGGAAGTTAAGAAGGGAAGTGAACTAAAATGAGGAAGATGGTTTCAAAGCTATTTAAAAAGCCACTAGATGCACTGATATCCTTCTTCACTCTCTGTCACTGTGCTTATGCACTTCTCCCATCCTGACAAGTGGGAGGCTTGAGGTCCATCTTATAGGTTAAAACAGAGGGTCTCTTGGCTAGTGGACACCAGTCACATTGAAGGTGGAGAGGAATTAAGTGAGTACTGACATTTCCAATGCTCAGAACCCCTGGCCCCCTTCTCCATTATTGGCTCCCAAATTGAAAACTAGGCCCTTTAGCATCCAGGCAGGAAATAGGAGGAATCTTTTTGGGAATCCCACCAACTCAAGGAGAAAAACCTAAAGACAAAAAGAACTATACATAAATACTGTACTCCACTTGGTAAGTTTGTTTCTTATAGGGGTATAGGTTAACAGTGTAAACTACATTACCTGTATACAAGTGTTTGAAAAATAAGCTAAGCATTAGAAAAGGGGAGCCAGGTTTCTCACATAAATATTTATGCCCTCACAAAGAGCCTGGACAGATTGCCTTGTTGTAGGGAAGGTCATAATTGATAAGTCCCATGTATATAACTAGAACTTTCCATCAACTTTGTGTACCCAAACAACTAAATACCATTGGGCATCTGAGAAAGCTTCTAATATGAATAACAGAAACCAAAATAAGCAAATAGAGAAAAACTGGAGAAAATAGACTATGCCACCTAGAAAACTTGATGTATATGTATGCATGTACATACATATATACATATACACACGTACACATACAGCCATATATAGATACATATGCATACACACACACATATATATATACAAATACCCAGATATGTGCATGCAGAAAGACTGGATGCTGCACCCATAAAGCAAGAATGGGATATTTAAAAAAAAACATTCAGAGAACAAAAAAGAATTTTTACCAATTAAGAACATATAGTAGAAAAGAAAAACTCAAAGAAATATTGGACATTAAGTTGAGGAAAACTTTCTAGAAAGTAGAGCAAAAGGGCAAAGAAATAATAAACAGAAGATAAAGTAAATATACTAGTGCAGGAGGGCCAGCTCTGTATTATTAAACATTCCAAAAAAGGGAAAACAGAATAAATGAAAAGAAAGAAAAAATGAATAGTATATTTCAAGAAAATTTCTCATAATTGAAGGCGAAGTACTTATTGAGTGCTTGGCGTAATGGATGAAAAGAGACCAATACTCATTTAAAGAATAGGAAATATAAAAAGCAAACTTAGATGCCTAGGCTCCATAATATTCAGGGAAATACAAATTGAAATGAGATACTATTTTTCATCCATTTGATAGGGTAAATTAATTATATCAATAGCATTGGGAAGGATATGGGGAAAATGGCTGTCTCAAACTACACACTCTGGGGGAAGTCTGAAACAATTATTTTGGTAAACAGTTTGCCAGATGGCAAGTGGAGTTGGACATATGCAAATATTACAATCTAGAAATTCTACTTTTGGATATTGCCATTAGAAATTCTTCTACTTATGCATATGAAGATCTGGACAAGATGCTATGTATAAGAACATTCACTGAGCCATTATTTGTAATAATGAAAATGTATGGACAACCTAAATACAAAAATGGCTAAGATGTGGTATATTCACATACACATATGAACAGAACACATGCACACTTCAACATGGATAGAACTCCAAAAGATAATGTATGAAATCAGCAAAATGCAGAATATGTATGATATATATACATTTTAAACATATATTTCAAAACATAAAACGTTATATTGTTTATGGATATGTGTATGTCCTAAAATAATATAAAAAATTGACCAGAAGGTATGTACCAAATTCATAATAATGGTTACCTCTATCAAGGGGAGGGGGAAGGAACAGGGTAGGCTTGAGTATGGGGACTTTAGCTTTATCAGTGATGCTTCATTTCTTTAAAAAGAAAATAAATATATCACAATGTTACTGTTGTTAATTCTGAGTGATAGATCATAGGTATTTAGTTGTTGTGTTTTTCTTTATATCTTTAAATTCTGGCCCTTTGCCTAACTCCAAAATAACAAACAAGAATGTTTTCTAGATTTCCTTTTTACTCCTTCTATGTGTTAGGTACATTATAGGTACTCTTCTATCACCTTGCTTTCTCATCTGATTCTTAAATGGGAATTCAGGTACTGCATTAACCAGTACATACGCCAGAATCCAGCATCAGAAGTAGATAATGAAGACAGAAGGTCCTTTACCCATGAGAGACAATTTAAAACTAGGAATTGGAAGCTTCAGTCATGTCCAATAGCTGTGGGGGTTTATTAAGGGTTTGCTCCATCCATCTCAGGTCTCCTACCCTGGATTCCTAGGGGAGGAACCCCCCCCCCCCCCGCCCCCGGAGACAAGACCACACTCTTTCGCCTAGGCTGGATTGCAGTGGCACAATTATAGCTTGCAGCAGCCTTCAACCCCTGGGCCCAGGCAATCCTCCCGTTTCAGCCCCCCAACTGAGTAGCTGGGACTACAGGCACACACCACCTTGCCCGGCTTATTTTTAAATTGTTTTGTAGAGACGGGGCCTCACTTTGTTGCCCAAGCTATTCTCAAACTCCTGGCCTCAAGTGATCTTCCTGCCTGGGCCTCCCAAAGTGTTGGGATTACAGGTGTGAGGCACCCTATACCTGCCCTAGAAAACACTTTCAAAATACTGAACTCTGGATTGCACAGATGATCATGTAATAACCATGTAATAATTACTAAATAATTAATATTTAGAAGAATAAGCTTACTGATTCCATAATAACAAACATCAGATGATCTGCATCATTCTTCCCCCCATTCCTTCATATTTCTCCTGTCTTTTTTGGTCTCTGTGTGTCACCTATCTCTTGGTTTTTATATTTTTCACTTCTGACCATTTGCATATCTTTTTTGAATATGGATTCATCATGTACTTTTCTGCCTTTGTGCAGTCCCTAAGTAAGTGTGCTCAGCCTCCCATCAGCATGGTTTCCCTGTTCCCTTGCTTGACTGGCCATGAGTTCGTCAGCATGAGCAAGCTGTTCTGGGGATCCTGAATCATTAGTAGGAATCCATCTGGCTTCAGTTACTGCTTGGTTTTGAAAAAGTTCTCACAAAAAAATAAAAATAAAAAAATAAAAAGTACTCATGAAAACTGTCAGGTTTTATAAAAGACAGTGGCATTATTTGGCAAACGTAGTAAAGTACACAAATGATTTTTGGGAGTGCCTTTTCTTGGAAGTCAAATAATAAGAGAGAACCTAGGTTTGTGGATGACTATCTTTGCCATATATAATGACTACTTATCAATTACAAAGTAATAATCAAAAGGAATCTCATCCCCTACGAAATGTTTTAGGGCACTAAGTTTATTACAAATGCAGATAAACTAGACATATACAATGAGAACAATGGGCTAATCTAACTATAAATCCCTTTCTTTAATAGTTTAACTATAAGCCAATATGAAGAGCTGGAAGTTTAAGTTTCTTTGAGTTTTTGAAGTATGAGTTTAAGTCAAGGAAAGAAAAAAATTGAAAATATAAAAAGCATTTAATTTGGAGGGGCAGTAAGAGGTCAGGATCCGGTTGATAGGAACAATTCAATTTGCTGACATTAAACATTCCACCTTAATATGGAATTTACCATTGGGGAAATCATCATGATTTAGAGAAAATACAGTTTTTATATAAAAAGCAAAAACCCAAAACAGACATTAAAAAGCATTACAAATGTATTGTTAAAAATCGGTTTGTATTTATTGATAGTAAAATACATCAGATATGCATAAAGTAAACCATTCATTTTCTTTTCAAATATATGAATTAATCTGGGAGTGGACTAACATCTTCACACTATTCAGTCTTTAAACCCATGAACATGTTAAACCACTGTTTTTTAGATCTCTTTTTGTGTCTTTCAGCAAAGTTTTAAGTCTTGCCATAGGTTTTATTAAATTAATTCCAAAGTATTTTGTTTTTGATGCTATTATAAATAAAATTGTTTTTAAATGTTATTTTCCAGTTGTTTGCTACATTTGTATAGAAACAATTGATATTTTTATATTCACCTTGTGAATTCACCTTACTAAATTCACTTATTGCATTCAACTTTGTATAGTATATTCACCTTGCCAAATTCACTTAATTCTAATAATTGGTTCTCAGATTCCTTAAAATTATTGACACAAAATTCATTTTTAAATAAATAAAGACAATTTTAGTTCTTTCTAACCTAACTTTTATTTCTCTTTCTGGCCTTTTTGCCCTACGTAGGAACTCCACTATATTCAATACAATGATGAATAGAAGTAGGGAGAGTGAACATTCTTGACTTGAACGCAGTATTATGAGAACTTGCAGTATTTTACCATTATATAAAATACTAGCTGTAGGTTTTTCATTTATCTCCCTTATCAGATTGATGGAATAACTTTTAATTTTTAGCTTACTGAGAGTTTTATCATGAATGGGTGCTGATTTTTCTCAGATGCTTTTTCTGCATCCATTGAGTTTTTTTTAAGATTCTGTTAATATGGTAAATTATGTAGATTTAAATTTTTTATGTTAATTTTTAAATTGACAAATAATAATTGTACATATTTATGGGATACATAGTGATGTCTGATACATATAATGTATGGTGATGAGCTCAGGATAATTATTAATAGCGTATCCCTCATCTCACACATTTATCATTTCTTTTTTTTTGAGATTTTTTAAAATCTTTTTTTTATTATTATTATTATACTTTAAGTTTTAGGGTACATGTGCACAATGTGCAGGTTAGTTACATATGTATACATGTGCCATGCTGGTGTGCTGCACCCATTAACTCGTCATTTAGCATTAGGTATATCTCCTAATGCTATCCCTCCCCCCTCCCCCCACCCCACAACAGTCCCCAGAGTGTGATGTTCCCCTTCCTGTGTCCACGTGTCAGGGATCTAGAACGAGAAATACCATTTGACCCAGCCATCCCATTACTGGGTATATACCCAAAGGACTATAAATCATGTTGCCATAAAGACACATGCACACGTATGTTTATTGTGGCACTATTCACAATAGCAAAGACTTGGAACCAACCCAAATGTCCAACAATGATAGACTGGATTAAGAAAATGTGGCACATATACACCATGGAATACTATGCAGCCATAAAAAATGATGAGTTCATGTCCTTTGTAGGGACATGGATGAAATTGGAAATCATCATTCTCAGTAAACTATCGCAAGAACAAAAAACCAAACATTTATCATTTCTTTATGTTGCAAGCATTCATTACCTTCCTTCTAGCTGTTTGAAACTATACAATATATTGGGGGTTTTTTGTTTTGTTTTGTTTTGTTTTGTTTTTTGAGATGGAGTTTTGCTCTTCTTGCCCAGGCTGGAGTGCAATGGCATGATTTCGGCTCACCGCAACCTCCGCCTTCTAGGTTCAAGCCATTCTCCTGCCTCAGCTTCCCAAGTAGCGGGAATTAAAGGCATGCGCCACCATGTCCGGCTAATTTTGTATTTTTTAGTAAAGACGGGGTTTCTCCATGTTGGTCAGGCTGGTCTTGAACTCCCGAGCTCAAGTGATCTGCCCACCTCGGCCTCCCAAAGTGCTGGGATTACAGACGTGAGCCACTGCACCTGGCCGAAACTATACAATATATTGTTTACTGTAGTTATCCAACAGTGGTATAGAACACTAGGACTTATTCCTCCTATCTAGCTATAATTTTGTATCCTTCAACAAATCTCTCTCTATCCCTATCCCTCTTCCCCCTACCCTTCCCAGCCTCTAGTATCTTATGTTCTACTTGTATTTCTATGAGATCAACTTTTTTTTTTTTTTTTTTTTTTTTTTAGCTTTCACATAGGAGTGAGAACATGTGATGTTTAATTTTCTGTTCCTGGCTTATTTCACTTAATGTCTTCCAGTTCCAGTCACATTGCCATGAATAGCAGGATTTCATTCTTTTTTATGGCTGAATAGTACTCTGTTGTGTATCTATGCCACATTTTCTTTATCCATTCATCTGTTGTTGGACACCCAGGTTGATTCCATATCTTAACTATTGTAAATAGTGTTGCAGTCAACATGGTAGTGCAGACGTCTCTTCAATAATACTGATTTCCTTTTATTTACCTAAATGCCAAGTAGTAGGATTGCTGGATTATATGGTAGTTGTATTTGTAGTTTCTTTTCTTTTGGGGAACCTCCATACTGTTCTCCATAGTGGTTGTACTGGTTTACATTCCCACCAACAGTGTTTAAGAGTTCTCTTTTCTCCACATCCTCATCAGCATTTGTTATTTTTTGTCTTTTTGATAATAGCTATCATCCTAACTGGGGTGAGATGATTACCTCATTGTGGTTTTGATTTGTATCTCCCTGATGATTAATGATGTTGAGCATGTTTCCATATATTTGTATGACTTTTGGTCATTTGTATGTCTTTTGAGAAATGCCTGTTCAGATTATTTGCCCATTTTTAAAATCAGATTGTTGTTGTTGTTGTTGCTGTTGAGATATTTGAGTTCCTTGTATATTCTGGATATTAATCTCCTGTCAGAAGATTGGTTTTTGAATTTTAAATCAGCCTTACATTCCTCGGATATACCACTTGATAATAGTCTATTCTTAAATATGTCTGGATTCAATTTGATTTTTTTTGTAAATCTGTACTCATGAGGCTGATTTTCTTTTCCGTTAATATCTTTTCCAGGTTTTAGTATTAGGGTTTTGTTTGCCTAATAAAACACATTGGGAAATATCCTCTCCTATTTTCCTGAAAGTGTGTAAGATTGCTATTATTACTTCCTTAAATGTTGGATACAACTTACCTGTGATGCCATCTGGACCTGGAGTTTTGTTTTGTTTTTAATTACAAATTTATTTAATACATACAGTCTGTTTCTTTCTGTGGTTATTTTAATAAATAAAATAAAAAAATTAATTTTTTGAGATTTTTCATGTTATCTCAGTTACTGAATTGATTTTTATTACGTTGTTCAGAACACTATATTTGTATGATCTGTGGTGACATCCCTCATATTTCTAGTATTAGTAATTTGTGTTTTTAACTTTTTCTTGATCAATCTTGCTAAAGTTTTATCAATTTTTTACCTTTCAAAATAAAACAACTTTTAGCTTTAGTTTTTTTCAGTTGTCCATATTTATTCCATTGATTAGAATATTAAATGTATTATTTTTAGTTTATACCTATGATTTTAAACTTTTTAAAAATATATAAGCAGAGTATAGGCTGAGCGTGGTGGCTCATGCCTATAATCCCAGCACTTTGGGAGGCCGAGGCAGGTGGATCACGAGGTCAGGAGTTCAAGACCAGCCTGACCAACATAATGAAACCCCATCTCTACTAAAAATACAAAAAATTAGCTGGGCATGGTGGTGGGCATCTGTAATCTCAGCTACTCAGGAGGCTGAAGCAGGAGAATCTCTTGAACCTGGGAGGCGGAGGTTGCAGTGAGCAGAGATCGTGCTATTGCACTCCAGCCCGGGCGACAGTGCGAGACTCTGTCTCAAAAAAAAAAAAAAAAGTATGTGTGTGTGTATATATATATATATATATATATATATATATATATATATATATATATATATATATTCAGAGTATAAACGCAACTTCAGAGTCATTCAACAGATTTTGATGTCTTATGTTTACTTTATTGCAGTTTCACTTATTTTCTAATTTCCATTGCATTTTCTTCTTTCACTGTAGGTCATTAACAGGTATGTTGTCAAATTTCTACCTATTTAAGACTTTTCTGGATATGTTAATGGTTTCTAACTTAATTCCATAGTAGTGAGAGAACATACCCTTTAAGATTTCAATCTTTAGAAACGTGTTATATAAAAAATGGTTCACCATTTGTTTCATGTTGAGTAATATTTTCATGTGCACTTGAAAATAAATGTACATTTGCCAGTTGTTGGATGTACTGTTCTACGAGTGTTCATTTAGGACAAGCTAGTCATCACTCTTCTTCAAATCTTCTGTTTCCTTACTGGTTTTTAAAAATCTAGTTGTTTTATCTATTATTGAGAGAGGAATGTTAAAATCTTCAATGATATGTACAGATTTTTCTATTTCTCTTTTAAGTTCTGTTTATGCTTCATTTATTTTGAAGCTCTGTTATTATTTGCATAACTTATGATTCTGGCCGGGCATGGTGGCTCACATCTATCATCCTAGCACTTTGGGAGGCCACAGGAGGAGGATCACTTAAGCCTGGGAGCTCAAGACCAGCCTGGGCAAGACCCCATCTCTAAAACAATTAAAAATTTCTTTAAAATTCTGATTCTGTCTTCCTGATGCATTGGCTTTCTTAAGAAACTTCCCTTTTTATGTTTAGTTACATTCCTAGTCCTGAAGTCTACTTTCGCTGATATTTATATTGCTTTCTTATGTTTGCTGTTCGTGTAATATATTCTTTTCCATTTTTTAAACTTTCAGTCTATTTGTATGTTTATATTTAAACTATACCTCTTATTGACAGCATATAGTGTGGGTTTGCTTTTTCCCTAGTTTCCATCTTTTAATTGTAATGTTTAGTTATTTTATATTTAATGTAATTAATGTGGTTGGGTTTAAGATACCATTTGCTCCTTGTTCTTCTTTTCCTACTTTCTTGCCTTCTTTCGGGTTAACCAAACATTTTTTAGTAGAGTGCTAACAATTCCTGTTAACTTTTTAGCTATACTTTCTTATATTTTCAAATTCCTTTATAACCTTTTGAACACTACTCTTTTATAATTTTTAAGTGGATGCTCTAGGAATTAAAATATATATCCTTAATTTATAAATTTATTTGTAGTTAACATTGTAATACTTTATGTAAAATTTAAGAGCCTTGCAACAGTGTAATTGCATTTATACCTTTGTGCTATTATTGTAATATAATTAACATTTAATATATTATAAACTCCACAATATTTTATATATTTTAATATATTTTTGTATAATCACTTATCTTTTAAAGAAAATACATACTTCTTTTAAAGAATAAAAAGAATAAATACATCTTTTAAATAATAAAAAATACATAGTCCGTTTTATTTACCCTCATATTTATGATTTCTGATGCTTTTGCTTCTGTTTTGTAGATCTGACTTTATCTAGCATCATCTCCCTTTAGCCTGAAAAAGTTCCTTTAGTATTTCTTATATATTAATCTTAAAACAGATTATGTTTGGTTATATGAAAGTGTTTTTAATTTTGCCTTCAGTTTTTTGAAGGATATTTTTGCTGGATGTAGAATTGTGGGTTGATAGGGCTCCCCACCCCCCTTCAGCATTTTAATGGAAGAAATTATTCCATTATCTTCTTGCCTCTGTTGTTACCAATGAGAAACCAGTTACCATTTATATCTTTGTTTCCTTGTATGTGACGTGCTACCTTGCCCAAGCTAGTTTCAAAATTTTGTCTTAATTTTTTTTTAGCGGTTTGACTGGACTTTGCCAGAGTTGGTTTCTCTATATTTATTCTGAGTGGGATTTATTGAGACACTGGATCTGACAGTTTATTTTTCACCAAATTTTGGGAATTTTCTATCATTATTTCCCCATAATACTATTTCTGCCCCAGTGTCTTTCGCCTCTCATCAATTACATGCTTGGTATTGCCAGCAGATTACAGAGGGCGTGTGTGTGTGTGTGTGTGTGTGTGTGTGTGCGCGCGTGCGTATGTGTGTGTGTATGTGTTTTCCCCAGATTATAGTAGGGGTATGTGTGGTTGTGTGGTTTCTTTTCTCTTTCTTCTTCAGACTGGGTATTATTTTCATTTCAAGTTCACTGACTTGTTTTTCTGCTGTCACAAATCTGTTGTTAAGTCTGGCCAGTGAATCTTAGAATTTGCTATTGAAGGATCTAGCTCTTGAATTTCCATTTATTTCTTTCTCAGTTTCCATTTGCTGCCAGTATTTCTCATGTGTTTACCCATTATATGTATATAAATATATATATATATATATTTTTTAAAATCTTTAAACATATTTATAATAGCTACTTTCACATCTTTGTTAGGTGTTTCCAACACCTAAATCATCTTGTGGTGTGTTACTGTTGACTACCTTTTCTCCTGATCTGGAGTTACATTTTCTACCTTCTTTGCATGTTTAGTAATTTTTTATTGTGTACTGGATATTGTGGATGACATTGTGGATTGTTATCTCTTTTTGAAGAGTATTGATTTATCTTCTAGTAGACAGCTAAATTACTGGCTGGTAAACATACACTTAACTATACAACTCAGCAATTACAGTCCTGGGCATTGAAATGAAAACAAATGCTTTTACAAAAGCCTGTACAGAAATATTCATAGCAGCTTTTATTTGTAATAGCCGAAAACTAAACACAACCCAAATGCACTTTAAAGGACAAATGGTGAAAAAAACTGTGGCACAACTGTACCATGGAGCAATAAAAAGGAATGAACTATTGATACGTGCACCAAACTGGATGGATCTCAAGGGCATTATGCTGAGTGAAAAAAGCCAACTTGAAAAGATTCCATGCTATATGATTCAATTTATGTAGTATTCTCAAAGTGACAAAAATTATAGAAATAGGGAACAGATTGCAGTTGTCAAGAGTTAAGGAAAGGGGAAGGTGGATGTGATTATAAACAGCATGAAACAATTCAGCTGTGGTGATGAAGCAGTGAATCTCAATTGTGGTGTAGTTATATGTATCTGTACATGTGCTAAAATGTCATAGAATTGTAAAAAAGACATACAAAAAATGAGTGCATGCAAAAACTGGCAAAATTCAAGTAAGGTCTGTAATCTAGTCTACTCAATTTCCAGCTTTCTTTTAGCTCTGATCTACATTCTTTAATGCCTCAAGCCAATAAGACTGTGGTTTTCTCCTTTAAACCTAGCCTCTCTGCACTTAAGTGGGAGTACTGGGAAGAGTTCCGAGTTCCCTTCCAGGAGAGTCTCATAAGTGTGTATCTCACCCAGTGTAATTCCTTTCTTTCAATGATCAGAACCCCTACAATTTCTGTCTGCCTTGGTCACTTTCCAATTTCTTCAAACAGTTGTTTTTTATATTTTGTCCAGAGTTTATAACTGTTAACTGTGGGCAAATTAGTTCGATATAAGGTAGTTCATCATTACTAGAACCAGAGCTCAACTAACATCTTTTTGAAGTTTTACAAACATAAAATGTTTATAAACTTTTTCAGTTAGAAATTTGAAGACAAAATATTATAGGAGTATTACATAAGTAAATAATTATGTGATAACTGAAAACATGAAAAAAATCAGAATTTATAAGTAGGAAGAAGGATAAATATACAAATGCAGCCAGAAACAACTTTTAAAAGACATGTAAATGAGTCTTTCAGAAGTTTACAGATAGATGCAATTATGTATTACCTAAGCAGCATTCTCAAATAGGAGTATATACTTAATCACCAGAAAGGACTTAAGCTGTAAAATGAGATCTTTATTCATTGTCTTTTGGAAATATTTTTCCATTTCACTCTAAAAGTTGCATTTTTTTTTCTTTTTCTAGCATATCTGACCTTTATTATTTATTGGAGAATAAAATGGCAATCTAACGTCCCTTCTGCTTTTATTTTTGTCTTTTTATTCTAGTTGTTTATATAATTGGCCTTAAATGAGGTGAGAGTGAAGAGACTAGAGCCATCTCTGGAAAACATCATTATCCCATTCCCCGGGAAGCTACCCTCTGGAACTCAAGATTTGACCATATCTGTTTTGAGGATTCATTATGAACAAAGAAGTCTCCCAGGTAGGAATTGTAGTTCTATTTTTAAAGAGCTTTGTCTCTGCAAAAGTATGGAAGGAACATGATTACCTGTTGACTGTTATCTTTTATGGAAATATGTGTTTGATCTGGGTTGCTTCAAGGTTAGTGTAAAACAGGTGCTCACATTCCTAAGTGAAAATGATAGGAAAGTTCTAGGATACACTTTATGAAGCTATTTTAGTGTATGTCGAAATCACTTATGATGAGACCCTCAAAGTCCTTACTGAATTGAAAATGGCAGCAGAAACTGTAGTAAACCATCTCCAGATTTGCTTCATATATTTCTAACATATATCCAGTTAATTTTATACATATATGCATAAAATTACATAATATATACCTATATAATTATAGGTATACCTGTATAATATATAGGTAATTGTAGGTATACCCATATAATATATACCTATGTAATTTATGTGTATGTAGTGTCCATATGGGCATTTTTACATTGTTGCTGTTTGAGTTTGTGAGCTAGCTGAATAGAACCAGTATATCCGTGAACATACTAATGGGAGCAGTAGAAAAATAAACATGTACCAAGCCAAGACAGTAGATAAAAGAGTTGAAGAGTGATCAGAAACTGATAAATCAGTAAGGGAAAACTTCCAGGAGAAAATTTGTTAATTAATAGACTTGTAATTGAATTATACATAGATAAAAATAAAAAATTATAAGCATATAACTTTTTATTTATTATGTACTGAACATATTTGTGTAAACATCGCCTGGGTTAAGAAGTAGAACAATACCACCACCCCAGAAATCCTCTTCATCCATGTGTCCCAGCTGCACGCCCATTCACTTTTAAAGGAGGCGACAGTTGTCACTATGGAGAGTGATACCTGTCAACCTAGAGTGTGGGGTTTTATAGATCACTGAAGTTAAAGGCAGTAAAATTTAGTTGGCCAACAATGCCTGTGTTTGGAATTAACAATGAGTTTGGAAGTTGGAGGCAAAACTCTCAGTTGGCAGAGAGCTTTAATGCAAGGACTGGAGGTACAAAATTATTTAAGAAGATATTCATCTAATCTTACTATCTCTGCCTCTTTAAAATTGCATCAGTTTTGGCCAGGTGCTGTGGCTCACGCCTGTAATCCCAGCACTTTGGGATGCTGAGACGGGTGAATTATGAGGTCAGGAGATTGAGACCATCCTGGCTAACAAGGTGAAACCCCGTCTCTACTAAAAATACAAAAAAAAAAAAAAAAAATTAGCCAGGCGTGGTGGTGGGCGCCTGTAGTCCTAGCTACTCGGGAGGCTGAGGCAGGAGAATGGCGAATGGCGTGAACCTGGGAGGCGGAGCTTGCAGTGAGCAGAGATCGAGCCACTGCACTCCAACCTGGGTGACAGAGCGAGACTCCTCTCAGAAAAAAAAAAAAAAAAAAAAATTTCATCAGTTGCTAGAGCAAACACAACTCTTTGTTTCTGGCTTTTATTAACTGATGATACATTTGTATTTACACGTTGAGTGCCCCATATCTGAAATGCTTGGGACTAGAAGTGTTCCATATTTTGGATTTTAAAATATTTGCAGTATACTTATCAGCTGAGCATCCGAAATCTGAAATCCTATATGCTCCCGTGAGCATTTCCTTTGAGTATCATCAGATTGTGGAGCATATCGGATTTTGGACTTGGGATGCTCAACCTGTATTAATTTATGTTTTCTGTTGTTTCCAATCAGGACTGTTGGTTCTCCCTAAGGAGCAATAAATGAATTAAGTATTCTGATTAAAAAAGAAAGTTTTGCTGAGTAGGATGTATTATAATAAAGAGAAATTTTAATTAAGTAGGAGAGCCATCTCTTTAAGAGTTTTCAGGAAAGTAATGTTAGTACCTCGACTTTATGAAAGAGAAAGGAGGAGAAAATTGATAGAATAATGCAGTGACTGAACATTAGCTTGGTGTCTGTCTTTCCTCATTGTTCAGTGAGTGACTCTAAGAAAGTCATTTTCCTCATTATAATGACATTTTTCATCTTTTCTATTTCTTCTTAACATTAAAAACAATTTCAAATGTACCAAATAGTTACAAAATTGCTAGACTGAACACCTGCATGCCCATTGCCCAGTTTCACCAATTATAAACATTTTATGGAATTTGCTTTATCTCTCTCTGTATTTACTTTTCCTTTTCCCCTTCCCCCTCTACCATTACGATGACAATGATGAACCATTTGAGAAAAAGTGGTAGACAATCATGATCCTTCACTCTAAAATATTTCCTACTTAACCACAATATAATAATCAATTCAGGAAACAACATTTTTTATTGCTGTTATCTAATATATAGTTCACATTAAAATTTTACCATTTGTCTGATTCACAATCATAGATTGCATAGTTGTCACATTTGTTTGGTTTCCTTTAACCTGGAATAGTTTATTAGCTTTTCTTTGTTTTTCATAGTAGGGCCTTCCATGATAGTGACATTGGAGAAGAGTACAGGTCAGCTATTTTGTACAATGGTCCTCATTTCAGGATTGTCTGTTTCCACCTATTTCCTTCCTAAAAAGGCTGTGATAGGGGATGGAGATTCATGGATTTTTCTTTTTTCTTCTTTCTTTTTTTTTTTTTTAATGAAAAGGTTATCTTAAATAACAAAGTCTACAAAGAGTTTTCAGGATAAAGTCTGTTGGAACAAAGGAAATCTAGAAACTAGAATCACTAAGATAATTTAGGTGTTATTGAAAGGAATTATACACACATACACACACACACAAATTGTAGGACCCAAGATTTATAAACTTTGGAACAAAAATTAGGGTTTGCAAAAGCAGAACTTTTGATTTTGATTGAACAGTGCATTTTATTTTAAAGTCCTTGACATCTTATAAGAAATAATTGGTTTTATATTATAACGTATGATAGAAGGTAAGTCACGATTCGCTATATGAATAACTTTATTTTCATGTGATGTTTGGACTAAGGATAGAAAAGATTCTTTGTTTATATGTTTGAGTACCTTGTATACTACCTAGTTTTTAGATGTGGTATATTTTAATGTCACCTTTTCTGTAAGGCTCTTACTGGATATATTAAGGAAATATTTTGATGTGGAGGCCAAAGCAAAAGATTGGGGCTATATTGATGGGTTTTCTATTTATTAGTTATGTGACTGTAGGTTAGTGATATAACTTAAAGCGTATGCAAATTCTGGAACCAGATTACCTAAGACCGATTTCTTCCTCTGCCGCTTAAGTTGTTGAGCAGATTAAGTAACTTGTCCATGCCTCAGTTTTCTCGTCACTAACATGGATTATAATATTACCTACCTGATGTTTTATGAGTAAATGAGTTAGTAAGGTTTATGAGGGAATTAATTAACATAGGTTAGGTGCTTAGAACAGTGATAGGCACATGGTAAATCTTACATAAGTGTTAGTATTCATTATCATCATCATCAGAGCATAATTTATTAGTATGATAAAACTGTCAAAATGGAAATAATAATGTATACTTCATAGGGCAGTTGTGAGAAATAAGTGAATTAATGCATATAAAACATATATTACATGCTCAATATATATATAATGTCATATCCTTTAGATGCATATTAATGGGCTTACATTTTAACTTGTAAACTTTTTATTATTTTGTTTCTCTCAAATTATTTGTTACTATTGACTTTATAATGTGAAAGTGGCAACTGGAAGGGTAAGCATGCTTATACCACTGAAGTGGCCTATAGTCGAAATATTTGAGAAGTACTGTACTGGGTGACAATTGCAGGGGTCCTTATTCTAAAAATTTAAAAGTCTGCATCTCCAGTTTAAAATGTGTGAGCATTCTTTTTATTGTTATTATTCTGTTTGTTATCATAATTATTATTCTATTGAGAACCCCGGAAAATGGAATTTGAGTTTCACTTGTTCCAAGTTAGTCTTTAGCTGGTCGTTGCAGCAGAAGGAATATAGCTAGCCACATTTAGTGTTAGCATTAAGAGGATATTGATGCTATTTAACCAGCCATTTACATGAAATGCTTGGGATTTTTTTTTTCATTTTTCAGTGGATATCAATAAAATATTGCCGAATATAAATGAATCAAGTAAGATGACTTAGGTTTTAAGCTGGACTTTACAAAATGCATATCTTTTCTATAAATGTGGTCAGTGAAGATTGGCTCATATTGTGATTTTTTTTTTTTGAGACGGTGTCTCACTGTGTCGCCCAGGCTGGAGTGCAGTGATGCAGTCTCAGCTCACTGCATCCTCCGCCTCCCGGGTTCAAGCAGTTCTCTTCCTCAGCCTTCCAAGTAGCTGGGATTACAGGCATCCGCCACCACACCTGGCTAATTTTTGTATTTTTAGTAGAGACGGAGTTTCACCATGTTGGCCAGGCTGATCTCGAACTCCTGACCTCATGATCCACCCGCCTTGGCCTCCTGAAGCGCTGGGATTACAGGCGTGAGCAACTGCACCCAGCCCTCATATTGTGATTTTATCTGTGCCCTTTCCCTTTCAGGTTGGGAGGGTGACCCTGAAGTTAACCGGAGGTTTGTCTGACTTAATCATTTTATAACACCCTCAAAATACAATTCCATTATTTTGGTCAATTATTTTGACTCATTTGGCTCTATGACTTTGGTACTTCTTCTACCATATACCATTAAAGAACAGATTTTAGTGTATTTATTTTTCTTTTATTGGTGTAGATATATATATTTAACTATACTGTATTCTGAAATGGGTTTCTAAAATAGTTGATCAAAATTGAATAGCTTCTGATCTGGGACTGAATTCTTTATTTTAGATATTGAAGTAATTTTTTGTGTAAATGTAGTTATTTGATTTTGGATAATCATTTGTGGATTATCTGTATCTAATGCAGATCTTCATTTTCTTTTGGTTCTGGCTTCTAGCTGTTTTTCTGCCCACTATTATCTGAATCTCTGAAAGAGGTTAGTAAAAAGAGGCAGACATTTAAAATTTTTTTTAATTTTTATTTATTTATTTTATTTTTTTAAAAAGAGACATAGTCTGTCTGTGTAGCCAAGACCACACTTGAATTCCTGGCTCAAACAATTCTCCCACCTCAGACTCCTGAGTAGTTGGGATTATAGACACATGTTACTGCACCCAGCAACACTGAAATTTTTATCACTCAGTTTTGTCTGTGCAAATGACAAAGCAAAATGATCATTTACTTTTTTAAGGCTGCTTCTGCTAAACTCTTATAAAACTCTTTTGTACGCCTGCAAGTAAATATTAAATACTTATATTCTTGTTTATACCAGCTGAAGATAGCTATAGTTAGGACGACTGATTTTTCCTCAAGAAATACCAACACAAATTAAAGTGGATTTTGGAAGACATGTGCAGTATACCTGCATAACTCTATGTCACTCTTAAGATAACTGGATTCATAGTTTCATAAGGAAATGTTGAGTTATTTTGCTAATTTGTTCTAATAAGATAGCTGCCACAAATATGTGATACAATGCTATTTTCCCTCAGTCGTGAATATACTAGGAATATTTTAATAAGGCAAATGTTTATTCTTCATCTTAAAATTAAATTTTAAATGAAGCCAATATGAGGAAAATATTAGGTTTTAAAACTAATTTGGTTTTCCTTTTTCTATGTATTTGTTAATAGAAAACAAAATAAACTTTTCTTTTTTCAAACTTATTTGTATTTAGAAAAATTAATGCAAAGAAAAAAAGCATTGTCGCTTAGTCTGTGGAATAAGCTTTTAGTGGTAAACACAGACGTATTAAATATATTGTTTCAAACATTAAGATACATTTAGAGGGCAAGTTACCAAATCCTTGATAATGTCTTTATTATTAGCATAATAAATTTAAAAGACTGCACAGGATTCTCTTTTACAAAAAGCACTATAAGAAAAATCTAGTATTTTATAGTAGAATATGAAATAAGATTAAATGGTGTTTTGATTTTTAAGAATTCATTGATTGCTTTGAATCCATTTATTTGATTTTGCTTTTTATTCTTGGCCATAATGGTTAAGAACGTTGGCAGTGATTTATGGTAGAAGCTTAGGGGAGCAGGGTCTCTTCTCTGGGCCAAGGATAACTACCATCTCAATTTGGGCCCTGGCATTGTGGATTTTGAGAGAACTTTTGTTTCCAGGGATTTCAGGAAATCCCTACCCATTCAATTAGCTTCAAAATATCTAGTATTCAACAAAAATTAGGAGGCATGCAAAGAAACAAAAATATTTGGCCCATATACAGGAAAAATAACAATCAGTAGTATCTGTCCCTAAGGGGGCCAGACATTGGACCTATTAAAGAAGAAAAAGTAGATAAGTTGGACTTCATTAAAATTAAAAACTTTTGTTCATTAAAGAATACTGTAAAGAAAATGAAAAGAGAAACCACAGAATTGGAGAAAATCATCTGTAAGTCATATATCTGATAGGGGTCTAATACCCCGAATGTAAAGCACTCTTATGACTCAATAAAAAGACAAGTTAAACCCAACCCAAAATCCTACAACTCAATAGCAAGAAAACATATAACCCAGATAAAGATCAGGCAAAGGACCTGAAAAGATATTTCTTTAAGGATGACATAAAAATGGCCAACAAGTATATGAAAGTTGCTCAACATCATAAAATGATCAAGGAAATGTAAGTAAAAGCCACTTTATCACCTCACATCTACCAGCTATTAGGATAGCTGTTACAAGTTGAGTATCCCTTATCAAAAATGTTTGGGGGACCAGGATTGTTTGATATTTTGGATTTTTATGGATTTTAGAATATTTGCATTATACTTACCAGTTGAGCATCGAAAATCTGAAATGCAGAATGCTCCAATGAGCATTTCCTTTGAGTGTTATGTTGGCATTCAAAAATTTTTGGATTTTGGATCATTTTAGGTTTGGGATTTTTAGATTTGGGATGCTCAACCTGTATCAAAAAGACAAAAGATAACAAGTATTGGCAAAGGTGTTGAGAAAAGGGAACCCATGTACCCTTTTGATGGGAACTTAGAATGGAGCAGCCATTATGAAAAACAGTATAGATACTCCTAAGGAAATTAACATATGACTCAGAATTAACATATGACCCAGCAATACCTTTTCTGGGTATATACCCAAAAGAGATGAAATCAGCTCATAAAGCTGTCTGCACTCCCATGTTCATTGCAGCATTATTCACAATAGCTGAGACATGGAAACAACCTAGGGGTTGCTCAGTGGACAAATAGATAAAGAAGTTGTAATATATATATGCAATGGAATATTATTCAGCCATTAAAAAGGAGGAGATCCTGCCATTTGCCACAACATAGGTGAGCCTGGAGGACATTTTGCTAAGTGAAATAAGTCAGACACAGAAAGAAGAATATTGCATAATCTCATTTACATGAGGCATCTTTAAAAACAAAGGCAAATATACAGAGATAGAGAATAAAACATTGCCATAGTGGGGAAAAATGGGTAACTATGGGAGATGATGGATATGTTCATTTGTTCATTTACAATAATAATATAACCATCATAATATATATAATAACCATTTTACTACATATCCTCATCTCATGACATCATGTTGTAAATCATAAATATACACAGTAAAATTTAGTTTTTAAAAAATAGGCAAAGGAGCTGAATAGACACATCTCCAAATAAGACATACAAATGGCCAATGAGTGCAAGAAAAGATGCTTGGTGTCATTAGTGATTAGGGAAATAGAAATCAAAACCATGAGATACCATTTCACACCCTCAAGGATGGCTGTAATTTTTTAAAGACAGGAAATAACTCTTTATTTGGTGAGGTTGTGGAAAACTGGAACCCTTGTACATTACTGGTGGGAATTTTAAATGGTGTAGTTACTGTGGAAAACTGGCTTTGATAATTCCTCAAAAAGTTAAAGAGTTACTGTATAACCTAACAGTTCCACTCCTAGTTAAATACTCAAGAGAATTAAAAACATGGCCACATAAAAACTTGTACATAAATGTTCACAGCAGCATTACTGATAATATTCAAAAAGTGAAAACTACCTAAATATCCATCCACTGGTGAATGGATAAACAAAATATGGCATCTCCAAACAATAGAATATTATTCAATTATTAAAAAGGCAGTGAAAATCCTGAAGTCCCTATCCTTCCTTACCACATGAGAAAGATTTTGGTTGTCATTGAAATGAACAGCTAAAATGAAAACTTGTTTCAAAGACCCTTACGTGTCTTAGGACTCCAGTTTGAGAAACATTTTTTTGGAAATTACCTAGTTCAGATCTCTATTTATCATGTTTTTCCTGTGTGATGCCCTTCATACAACTATTAACTTGGGGATATTTAGCTCTCAGAGTATCCTTCTCACTATATATAAATGCTTCTTCGTGCTAACTGCCTGCTAAGCATTTTTAAATATATTATTAGAAATGTTTATTAACTAATTGGCAGGGACTTTTTAAAATTATGCAGTTCTCAGCTAAATCCAAGAAATGAATGACAGATTTCTTATGTAGAAATTTAAATTCAACTGAATTATAAGGCACAGTTCTATTTCTTTAGCCTTCACCTGTTTGGTTTAGTCTGGTACATTTGAACAGAGATAAATGTAGTTTCTAGTTCCTAAAACTACTCTCTAGAGATTGCATAAGATTGGGTATAATTTAGCAACTCTTTTTAAATCAACAGGGTACTTTTACTTAGAAACCTTACCTCTTTTTAAATAGTGATATGCAAATTGGTTTCCTGAAACCAGCATTTATTTTCTTAATGATTCTTATTTAAGTACCCTGACTGCGAAATACAAAGCCATTTCACATAAATACAACTGTAATAGTTTTTCCTCATGAGAAGTTTTACATTGCCTTGTTTATTGTGTTTTGTAAACAGGAAGCAGTTAATACCAGAATCATACTATCAGCAAATTATGGGTGACTGTCTCATAGCTCTTCAGCTCTTGGCTCTTATTTCAGTAGGCCAGCCTGTCTGGCTGCTGTTGTTTGTTGTTTGCTCTCCCTAGCCCCAGAATCTCAGATATAGCAGTTGTGAATCTCCAGCTAGTAGTCTAAGGGTAGTACATATGGGAATCTTGCTTTAGATCCAGAGGTATTTATTACTCAAAATTATTCAATCTGTGAGATTGTATTATTCAGATCATGTAACTGCAGCATGGCTTGGGTTTGTAGTACTGTGAAATATCACGGGTTGTTTTTTTACAAAATAATAGATCTTTACTTTTTCAAAATTAGAATATTCCCTAATTTCTAGACCAAGAAGGCAGTTTGCTGTTTTTTTCCCATTGAAAGACAATAAGGATTTTAAGAAATTTCATGTTTCTCAATTATAAGAAATAATTTCAAAGATTTTAAAAATATTTCAGAAAATATTTAACCATACAAATTAAATATCTTTGTTTTAGAAATCTTAAATGTTGTATTAGTAAGATAGGTTAATTGTTTTTAATTCATCACCTATTTATTTAGTTTCTCTATCCTTTAGGTATTGTGTTAGATATTGGATATACAATAAAAAGATCTAATAACTGGCTTTGAGTTCACAATCCCAAAAGGGAGACAAAATAATTGTAACTTATAGCACATTGTAATAAAAAAACATAGGCCCAGGATTATTTTGAGAACAAGTAGAATTTCAGATGGATAAATTCTTAGATGGACATAACCTAATTTCATTGGAGGCCGAAAAGATGAGCAGCTAAGGAAACAAAAAATGGCCCCTGAACATGAAGTAAGCGTTAGCCAACTCTTTTCTTTTGAATTGGGCAAATTCTAAAGTCATGTCTTTCAACTTCCTTGTTCAGCATTTTCTTCTCTCTTTTGTTTCTACTTTTGTAGAAAAGTTTAGAATTGATGCTTCATTATTACAAATTTATTGCATTATTTCATTTTTGTATTACTAAATTTTAAAATACATTTTATTTATATGAAATTATATGACTTCTTTACTTATGTGAACTTTGGTTAATCTTATTTATGCTTCTGTGAATCTCTGCAGGAAAACAAGGTGTATATTTTGTTAGTTCCAGTAATACAATGGACTGATTATTTTTATTTTGTGTTTGAGTTTTAGAATGGATGGTAACAAAACCATGTTGGTCTTTTGACTTTGTTTTGTGGTGGCTGTTGCAAGTCTGGTATATTTGCCTTGCATTGGGGTTGTTCATATTAAATTGTAAATTTTGCAAAGGCCAACTAGGCTTCTATATTTTCCTTATTGTGTGTTCCTTCCTCTCCAGTCACCCCCATAGAAGGTTTAATAAATTGTTTTTTAAGACATTAATCTGTAATGCAGTTCATCTCATTTATCATTAACAGAAATCTGAAATTTAAAAGTATATCATTTTTTATACATGTTTAATTTGAGGTGACAGTGGGATATCCAAATGAAAACATCCAGTTAACAAGTGGACATTCAGATACCAAATTACTAAGATGAGAAAGATTGTGGACATTCAGATACCGGATTACTAAGATGAGAAAGATTGTACTTACTCTTCACAGAGGAAGTCTTAGAATAAAAGTCAAATCCTATCATCCTTCTGTTGTTAATCCTCCAGTGACTGCCTCAGTCACTGGGACTTAGTCCTTGCAATGACTTTTAAGACCTTACATGGTATAGCCTCCTATTATCTCTCTGAACTCGTCACTTACTCCCCCATCCCCCAGGTTCTAGCCATGCTCACCTCTTTCATGTTTCTCAAAAAGCAGTTATGCTCCTGCTTTAAGGTCCTTCTACCTCCCCTTGCCAGAAGCACCCTTCTTCCATTTATCATTCTCTTGGCTGTCTCTCCCTTACCCCCTTCTTACCTTTGTTCATATCTCTCACTTTTTCAGTGAATCCTTTCCTAATTACCTTACTTGCTTCCCTTCCACTTCCACATACCTAAGCCTCTGTTTTTGCTTTATTTTTCTCCAGAGTAAGTATTATAACTTACTTTTTAATTTTATGTGTTGTTGTCTCTGTCACAATAGAATGAAACTTAATGAGGACAGTTATTTTGTAAATTTTATTCACTGCTCTATCTCTAGTGCGTAGAACAGAGGTTGGCATATGGTAAGAGCTCAGTAAATATTTGCAGCTAATTTAAATTGGTCTTCTCCCACACTGAGATCAATTTAAAGTTTTTTGGCTAGTATTTACCTTTTTGTCTAATATTTACCTTTGCTGAGTACATATTACCAAGGATTTTATTTTTAAAGTCTTTTCTTGAAGTTGAAACTAAAGTTAACATATATAATCTATATGCTTGTATATACAGATGATATATATAACATAATTTTATTTATATGTAGATCATATAGTAATATGCAATACATAATACATGGCATATATAATCTATGAACACTTGATTGGACTGTCATTTAGTAATTCATTCACCAGATCCTATAATAGACTCACACAATAGGTGAGAGCAGATGCAAACTTTATATATTATGTTTAGGAGATTGGATGTTGTCCTATGGGCATTGAGGATTTAGTGAAGGGTTTTAAGTAAGAGATTGACATGATTAGATATACACTTGGTAGCCTACTCTGGTGGGTCTGCAGAGGATAAACTTAAGGAGGACAAGACCGGAAACAGGGAGAAGCTATTTGGGAAGCTATTTTAGTAGTCCAGCAAAAGAGTTAAATGAGAACCTGAATTGAGATCTTGGTAAAGGAGAATATGAAGAAAGGATGGATTTTGGAAATATTTAAGAAGTAATGGCCGGGCATGGTGGCTCACGCCTGTAATCCCAGCACTTTGGGAGGCCGAGGTGGGCAGATCACTAGGTCAGGAGATCGAGACCATCCTGGCTAACATGGTGAAACCCCATCTCTACTAAAAATACAAAAAATTAGCCGGGCATGGTGGCAGGTGCCTGTAGTCCCAGCTACTCGGGAGGCTGAGGCAGGAGAATGGCGTGAACCCGGGAGGCGGAGCTTGCAGTGAGCTGAGATCCCGCCACTGCACTCCAGCCTGGGCGACAGAGCGAGACTCCGTCTCAAAAAAAAAAAAAAAAAAAAAGGAAGAAGTAAAAACTGACATTTGCTTGCATGCAGGATATGAGAGAAGAGGCTAGAATGACTGCAGTGTACCAACTGAGACAAGAAATACATGAGAAGGAAATAGGTTTATAGAGAGACTTTGCCCAAGGACAGGCAGGTAGTGTTTAATCCAGGATTTAAACAAAGTTTTTCTGGCCCCAAAGCCCATGCTGGTTTTTTGTTTTGTTTTGTTTTTGCTTTTATTATTATTTTTAATTGTTGCATAATAATTGAACATATTTATAGGGTACAGTGTGATACTTTGATACATGTGTACAATGTGTGTGATCAAATCAGAGTAATTAGCATGTCCCTCACGTCAATCATTTTTCATTTCTTCGCATTGGGAACATTCAAAATCTACTCTTTTTGCTATTCGAAAATAAATTGTTGTTAATTATAGTTACCTACAATGCTATAGAACACTAGAACTAATTTCTCATATTTAGCTATACTTTTGGATCTGTTAAACAACCTCTGGCTATCCTCTCCTCCTCACATCCTTCCCAGCCTCTAGTAACCACTATTCTGCTATCTACTTCTATGAGATTAACTTCTTTAGTTTACACATGAGTGAGAATATGCAGTGTTTGTCCTGTGGCTGGCTTATTTCACCTAGCATGATGCCCTCCAAGTTTGTCCATGTTGCCATGAATAACAAGATTTCATTCTTTTTTGTGGCTGTCTGGTATATTTCACTGTGTATATATACCACATTTTCTTTACCCATATATCTGTTGATGGACACTTAGGTTGATTTCATATGTTGGCTTATTGTGAATACTGCCACATAAATATTGGAGTGCACATATCTCTTCAACATACTGATTTCATTTCCTTTGGACATATGCATATTTGTAGGATTGCTGTATCAGATATATAGTAGTTCTATTTTTAGTTTTTTGAAGAACCTCCATGCTCTTTTCCAAATGGCTACGCTAATTTACATTCCCACTAAAAATGTATACGAGTTCCCTTTTCTCTTCATTTCTTCCCGGCACGGAAGCCCATCCTTTTAACTACCATGTTGCAGTAGGCAAATCTAGTTGACTCCTTATCAGGGAAATGAGACCTTGAAAATGATACTTAAGCAGGGATGCTTTTGCTGCTGTTTATAGGACAGATTAGAAGTGAGAATGACTAGAATTGAGAAGCAAGATTAAAGGATCTTGCATTAATCTACAATTAGGTATTTGGTTCCAAATGAGGATTATAACTGTATCTGGGAATGAAGAAGGAAGAGACAATCTTGTTAAGGAAAAATTAGCAGGATCTGAATGCCAGTTAGAAATGAGTAAAAGAGAAGAATAAAAAATTGTAAAATTATGATCCTAAGAGTTGGAAATTTTCATAAATAGCACTTCTAATATGGAGAAATTGAAAATGTGCCTTTTTGGTTGCATGAAATAATAAGTTCATGATTAAAATGTTAGGGATTATTTGTACACCAAAAAATATGACAGTCATTAATCTTCAGAAAAGGGCTAGAAGCAGAGTCAGTTTTAAGACTAGAGAAAAGGGTTTACTCAGACATACCAGTTAAAGCCATGTGAGAGATTCTCAGCATTCTTTATAATAAAGTTTTTCAGTATGGCTGCTAACATACAGTGCTGTAGTTTAATAATTTAGAATTTAAGGAAAAGCTAAAGGTTCTCCCATTTAACAAGAATTTTCTTTCCTTTTATAAGGGTAGATGGAGTAAAAGAGAATGGTGAAGTGTGTTGTTTGGCACTAATAAAATCCAAAAGGTAGTGATGATTGTAAGACCAAGGATAGGATTCTGAGTTTCATTAGGGATTATATGGAGAATAATGGTTGATGAGGGACAGATCAGCAGGGATCTTTAAGTGCAGTTGCTAACTGGTGCAACATGTGAGAGACCTGGCTGGTGTGCTAGGCGGAATGACTTTGTGTTCTCTGGGATCTATACCAAGATCCTAACATAGACTAAACATTTGATCTTTGTTGCCTGACTACATAAACAAAAGGTTAGGAGTATAGAACTCACAGCGTACAATTCAAAATCTAAATCTAGTTTATCACTTTAACTTAATTATGTATGTACTATTTATCTTCCTATCAATATAAAATCCCAAACCTTATGAGTGAAAGTTATTTTAAATTCTTTTGAAAAGCAGCTTCTAAATAATAAATGCAAAGAATAATTTCTCTGACTCCAGTTCAACATTCGGCTTCTACATTTACACGTGAAAATGATTATTTTCTCTTTGGAAAAAAAAATCTCAGTATCTATTTAATTATTCTAACCATGTTTTCATCCTAATTGGTTGTAACAATTTCACAAAGGATTATTAATTTTATTTTACAGATGTAGAAAAGAAAGTATAGAAACACTATCTGATGACCTCTGTACTTTTATGTAGATCTTCATGTTTTTATGATGGCTGTAATTATCTATTCATTGATATAGCACAATTTTTAGAAATTTTCTAACAGAGGGGAGCTTCCCTACCTTTATTTGGTTGGAAAGGTCATAAGGGTAGATTTCTTACTGTTGTCCTTCCTGTTTAGGTGTGAAGTTTTTCAACATGAGTGGCCTCGGGGACAGTTCATCCGACCCTGCTAACCCAGACTCACATAAGAGGAAAGGATCGCCATGTGACACACTGGCATCAAGGTAGGAACACTCCTCTTAGTCTATTTTTGGCAGAGCTGCTTTATTACTTTCACTGCCACTTCAGAGCTTTTGTTTAATCTACTCCAAGTTCAGTGGCTTTCTTTGAGTCTTTCATACTCACCATGTTGTCTTCCTTCCCCCAGGGTCTTTGCACATGTTTCTCCCTCAATCCAGCTTGCTTCCTCTTGATTTCCTTTAGTTAACACCTACTCATCCTTCAGATGCCAGCTTAGTCATTACATACTTAAAGAGAGCCTTCTCTTCCTTCCATAACTGTTAGATCAAGTTCCTCCATTCATGTATCTGTCTCAGATGTTTTTATAGCCATGATCCATAATTGCAGATTTTTACTAGTGTGATTATTTCATGAATTTCTGGCTTCCCCGCTAGACTCTAAGCTGCCACTTGGTAAAGGACCTTGTTTGTTCTTGCTCATCATTGTATCCTTAGTTCCTAAAACAGTGTGTGGCTTATATATAGTAAGAACACAGTAAAGATTTGTCAAATGAATATATAAATCTATTATACACCTTTAATTGCTATCTTAGAACATTATGGCATTAATGGAGCTAAGAAATATCAGGATTTTAAAAAATGATTGTGTAGTTAAATATTTGGTTTGTTATAAGGAATATGACCACCTTGAACAGGCTAAAAGGAACCTAATGCTAAGGAGACCCTCACAAATGCCAGATAGAGAAGAAACCTCAAATGCCAGATAAATTTAAATATGCATAGTTATATTCAGTCCTATTAACTTTTGATTAGTATTGCATTACATGAATATACCACATTTGAAAAATATGTTTTTCTGCAGATACATACCCTAGCTGCTCATTTAATATTAGGTTAAAAGAGCAGCTAGCTTCCTACCTGAGAGCAGCTTCCTAGAATGAGTGGAGATTTTATTCCACTCATCTTCTAGGATTTAGAGGAAAGTTTTTCAAACTCCACACTATTGACATTTCGTGTCAGATAATTTTTTGTTGTGGGGGAGCTGTCCTGTATTTTGTAGGATGTTTAGCAGTATCCCTGCTTCTACACACCAAATGTCAGTAGCATCTTAGTTGTGACAACCAAAAATGTCTCCAAACATTGCCAAATGTCCCCTGGGGCCAGGGGAAACAAAATCACCTCTAGTTGATAATCACTGATCTAGAGAGTAAAGCTACAGAAGACTCTTCTGTCCTTGGATTACATGCTGCTTTCTCTCATGGGAGGAAAAAAAGGAGGATTTTAACAGGAGAATGCCAGGGCTCCAGGCTCGAGAAAGAAAAGTGACTATTTATCTTACTCAGCTCAGAGAGCTGTCAGAGAGAGACAATAACCTGAGTACTCATAATCACAAGTAAGTGTCCAGATGCTGGGAGGAAGGTTGAGATCAAGATGCAATCTAGAAGTGTGTCAAAAATTAATGCTCTTGTTTTATCTGTGTATAAAATCAGTCCTTAAAGGAAAAGCTAAGAATAAATATCTTTTACATTTAATTTTTTGTTTGGGGAAATTTTTTAAATATATAAAAGAATATAGGCGAAGACACTATATCATACAACAGAATGTAATTGATAATATTTTATCATATTATTATTTTGTTAATATGTTATCATATTTGCATAATCCTGTTTAAAAGTAATACAATATTAACAATTGATTTGTCTGCAGTATTTTAATCTATTTTTAATAATTATGTGTGTATTTTATATATATACACACACAGGTATCTGAGCAATATAGAATATTACATTTACATAATTTATGTAATACTGTATATATTTTCTATAGTATACTTTTTCAACATGGATTTTGAGGTTTAAATATGCATAGATATATTCAGTCCCATTAACTTTTGATTAGTATTGCATTACATGAATATACCATCTTTGAAAAATATATTTTTCTACAAATACATTCCCTAGAGATAAACAGCCTGTTACAAATTTTCAATGTTACAGCCAGCCCTGCAGCAAATATCCTCACACATATCTCCTATTTTATACATAAAAGTTTCTTTGGCTGGGTACAGTGGTTCACTCCTGTAATCCCAGCACTTTGGAAGGCCGAGGCAGGTGGATCACCTGAGGTCATAAGTTTGAGACCAGCCTGGCCAACATAGTGAAAACCCATCTCTATTTAAGAAAAAAAAAAATTGCCAGTTGTGGTGCCGGGCATCTGTAATCCCAGTTATTCAGAAGGCTGAGGCAGGAGAATCACTTGAACCCGGGAGGTGGAGGTTGCAGTGAGCCAAAATAGTGCCACTGCACTCCAGCTTGGGCAACAAGAGCAAAACTCCGGCTCAAAAAAAAAAAAGAGTTTCTTTAATATCTAGGTAAATTTTTATGTTCACTAGGTAAGTACCACATTGTTTTTCAAATAACAGGCATTGAGAATTCCTCTTTTCCCACATTCTTACTATCACTGTTCTCTTCTCATGTTAACACTTTGCCAGTCTAATGGGTGTGGGGTTATAGTTTAAAGGGCATTTCCATGATGATTAGATAAACTGATCACCTTTTTTTGGTCTTTTACTCATTTATATTTTCCTCCTTTATGAATTTCTTGGTTGTATCTTTTGCCCATGTTCCTGCTGGGTTGTTTGTTCTTTTATTTTTTGTTTCTAAGACTTACTTTAAATTTTCTGGTTATTAACCTTTTCTTGTTTATAACTGATGCAAGTATCTTCTCCCAACCTGTTGGTTAACATTATTTATGATGTCTCTTGACATACAGAGCCATAGGTTTTCATGTGTCAAGCTTTTTAGGGTCTTGTTTAATAATTTTTCTTCTACTCTAAGGTTTTAAATGTATTTTTATATGTTTTCTTCTAATACATGTTTAGGGTTTTAATTAATCTGAAATTTATTTTTGTGCATGGTGTAATATAGGGACCTAATTGTATTTATTGTTTTTCCCAGTTATCAGTAATGACACTACCCTTGACTGTTTTTATTCCGTTACCTTTATTATAAGTCAAGTTCCTGTATATATAGGGATCTGGTTCTGAGCTTTCTTATGATAATTGCCTTGATATGTGATGAAACAAGACGTTCTTGGTTATTCTTCAGATCCATCCATTGTGCTGAATCTTCTTATGTGTTTTAATGGTTTATCTGTAGATGCTCTGATGTTTTTGTGTATATAGCATCATTACAAATATAAAAGTTTCATATCTTTTTTCTCTTCTTTAGATATCTTAAAGATAATTATATTCACATTTGCTTTAAAAATATTTGAAAGTACCATCTCCTTGAGGTTTATAACTGAAATATGGGCTTCAGCTTTAACAAAACAATGTATTTGATATGGTAAACTAAAAATGTATAATTTTGAAACTGAGTTTATGTATGAATGCCACCTTGTAATGTTTCTGTCTCCCCAAACAGAATTGAATTCTTTAATCATAAAGAGCATCTGTTAGACATCAGGGTATTGCCAGCATTGTGCACAGATCCTTGGATAGGAGTTTCTCAGCAACTGTTTGGTGGAGTGAGATATCTCATATCTTCCTCCTGTTACCTCTTCTCCATTCATTCATTCTTCTAGGAGAATGAGGATTAAAACGTTAATCTCAAAAGTATAGGTAGCTGTGTTTATGCTTGTTGAATATTTCCAATTCAACTCAAGTACATGTTAAGTGCGTACTCTTCAGCCAGCACCATTTGCATGATGTTTTAAGGATACAAGTGAAATGTGAGACATGTTTCTGTCTTTAGGGAGCTTACAAATCTGGTCATGGCACTCATTCTGCTTCTTAAATTTCTGGGCTCCCCATGTCCCTGAAAATAAATAATCATAATCAAAATGATGATAATAGATAACATTTACTGAGCTAAAAGTATATACCAGGAACTCTGCCAAGCATTTTACATGTATTCTCTTTTTTAATATAAAACCCTGGAAAGTAATGTCATTATCCTAGTTTTACAGATAAGGAAATCGAAGCTTAGAAAAGTTAACTTTCCACTAAGTGACTTGCCTAGGGTTGCATGGCTAGTAAATGACAGGAAGTTTGGGCCTGTGCATTTTTTTTTTTTTCTGTTAAGGGACAGGATCTCATTCTATTGCCCAGGCTGGAGTGGAGCAGCACAGTCATAACTCACTGCAGCCTCCAACTCTTGGGCTCAAGCAATCCTCCCCACTCAGCCTCCTGAGTAACTAGGACTACAGGCGCACACCATCACGCCTGGCTAATTTTTTTTTCTTTTTTTTTTTTTAGAGACAGGGTCTTGTTGTGTTACCCAGGCTGGTCTTGAACTCCTAGCCTCAAGCAATCCTCCTGCCTCTGTCTCCCAAAGTTCTGGGATTACAGATGCGAGCTGCTGTATCCAGCTGAACCTGTGCTTTTAAGCAGTATACCATGCATTTTATCATGGCAAGATCCCTGTGATCTGATCTGGACCACATCTCTTGCCCTTTTGTTTCTTATCTATAGTTTAGCTATACTGAACTACTTATAGATTCGTTAACTTGGTATCTTCACTCTTACTTTATACCTTTGAAAAAGCTGTTTTTTTCTTTCAGGAAGCCAGCCTCTCCCTACCACTGAGTTCATGTATCTTGTTCTCTAGGTCTAGATGTACTTCTATAGTATTCTAGTCTTGCTGCATAGTATTGTAATGGCCTGTTTTCTTCATTTTCTGACTAATTGAGAGCTACATCTAATTTATTCTTGGATCCTCTAGACACAGTAGTACATGGTTATCTGGCATATAATAAGTATAGGAGTATTTGTTGAGTTAGCTAGTTTGTTGAAGGAAAAAAGGCATGCACCTGAGAAATTAACTCAGAATAGCATTAGCTAGAAGGTCTGCAATATGAATGGTAATAAAAGGGATTCGTAAAGAGAGAAATATAGTTGACCCGGAGTAATAAAGGAAGACTTCTTTTCCATTAAGGTAGAATTTTTTTGCCATCTCCAGTTTTGACTTTGAACATATCTGCCCTCATTTTATCTCCTTGCTTATTGGTTACTTCATTTCATGGTGATTTTTCCTAGTCTCAATCTCTAGTCATTTTATAGACACCTTGCCAGTTCATTACTTTTAGCTTCTTGCTTTCTCTATCCCCTCTCTGTCTGCGTGTCCTGCCTGTTCTATCACTTTTTTCTTTTCCTCTATACTGTCTTCAAGTTCTTTGGTTTTACACAAAACTTACCATCAAAAACATATTTGAGAGTTCCACGAAGAGAGTCCAGTTTACTCGTGTTGCAGTTTAGATCCATGGATTTAAATAGATCAGAACTTTAGACTGAATCTACTACATATATCTTATATCAATTAGTTTCTCTAAGGTAAAAGTAGATGTCTTCAAACACTGTGAGGTTGCAGAGCTGAGGTTCCCTAAAACCTTGTATGTATCAAAATGTATGTTACTCATTTTATTCATGCCTTGGTATGTAATTTGTCAAAATATCTTGCTGCATTTTCTTGTTGTGGGAGTTATAAAATACAATTTTAATAACTACAATTGGGAAAACTCATCAATAATGAAAGACTTAAAAGACAAACGTGATCGTCACAGTTTTAAAATTTGGTTTTGTTTTGGTATTTGTAATATTTTGTTTTGTGTAGGTAAATACATTTGATTAGTTGATTCTTTTCAACTTACTATATTGTTTTGTGCTATTGTTTTTATAGTCTTTAATATTATTAAGAAAAGTAAATGGGGCTGGGCTTGGTAGCTCACGCCTATAATCCCAACACTTTGGGAGGCTGAGACGGGCGGATCATGAGGTCGAGAGATCGAGACCATCCTGGCCAACATGGTGAAACCCCGTCTCTACTAAAATACAAAAATTAGCCAGGCATGGTGGCGTGCGCCTGTAGTCCCAGCTACTTGGGAGGCTGAGGCAGAAGAATCACTTGAACCCGGGAGGCAGAGGTTGCAGTGAGCCGAGATTGCGCCACTGCACTGCAGCCTGGCCTCACAGCAAGATTCCATCTCAAAAAAAAAAGAAAAAGAAAAGAAAAGTAAATGGTATCTTAATTGTTGCCAATTATGAGCTCTATAGCAACTGATCTTCCCCTCTTCTGTCCTCTTTTTTCTGTTACTTTTATATGTAGCCAAATGATTTTGATTGCTGCTTATAAAACAAAGAGCTACTTGTGACCACTTCTTCCTATTATATTAGTTTGATGAAAACAAAATTTCAAAGTCATACTTAACTGTCTTTATATGTATTACAAAACAAGTTGTCTGATGACTTGGCTAAATAAACCAGGGCTAAAGACTGGAAGGCAAAAATGAATCATAGTCATTCAGTACATTTGGTATATTTTTTTAAAAAGGTGCTACCTGTATGCACCTTGTTCTCATTATTTTGCTTTAAGATAAATTGTTTGATTTTGTTTATTGCATTTATAGGAACTTACAAATCATTTTTTTTTCTGTCTTTTTAGGACACAGCTGTATACAGAATACATTGTTCACTGTACCTTCGTCTCTAATTATTATTATCCTTATTTTGCCTTTGAATGGATACTTTTTTGATGAGGATCAACTAATGGTTTAATCATAAGAATTAAGAGTTTATCAGAGTTATTGGATTTCTAATTATAACTTGTGAATTCTATTATCGTATTCTCTGCTTAATTTGTAACAGTTATTTGAAAATTCAGATTTTTCTATTTCAAGAAGTTATTCATAATATAAAGTAGTTCCAAATGTAACTGCTGTGTTTATTACTTGTTTGCTTTTACTATCTAGTAATTGTTATTTGAAAATATTCAAGATGTATATATGATTGGGGAAATACATCTGTTATAGCAGTCAATTTACTTTATATATTTTAGCCAGAATTGTTTTCTAAATTTTGGTATTTTGTAATGTCCACTTTTTAGATGTGAATTTATATCACTTTCTAAATCTGGTTTTATATTTTCGATAAAAATAAAGATCTCACTAAATGTGTAAGCATAGATACTTGATCAGAGAAGGAAATATGGTGATACAAATGTACACTAACTGGATTTTCTTTGTGTAACAGCACGGAAAAGAGGCGCAGGGAGCAAGAAAATAAATATTTAGAAGAACTAGCTGAGTTACTGTCTGCCAACATTAGTGACATTGACAGCTTGAGTGTAAAACCAGACAAATGCAAGATTTTGAAGAAAACAGTCGATCAGATACAGCTAATGAAGAGAATGGAACAAGGTAAAAAAGAAAAAGAAAACCCATGGCTGTGTGCTTTGTTATTAAGACATTTATAATATGTGATTTTACTTTATTATTATTATTATTATTATTTTATTATTATTATTATTTTTTGAGATGAAGTCCCGCTCTGTCGCCCAGGCTGGAGTGCAGTGGTGCGATCTCGGCTCACTGCAAGCTCCACCTCCTGGGTTCACACCATTCTCCTGCCTCAGCCTCCCAAGTAGCTGGGACTACAGGCGCCTGCCACTATACCTGGCTGATCTTTTTGTATTTTTTTAGTAGAGACGGGGTTTCACCATGTTAGCCAGGATGGTCTCAATCTCCTGACCTCGTGATCCGCCCACCTCAGCCTCCCAAAGTGCTGGGATTACAGGCGTGAGCCACCGCACCTGGCCTACTTTTTTATTATTAAAAAATTATATTGAACATTATAATTTTATAAAGAAATGTCTTTGTTAAGATGCTGTTTATTTTAGAAAGTGAACCTGAGAATCTTCTTGTTATAACAAAGTGTCTTATTAAGTTAACTCAAAAACTGGTTGCTTTAGGAGATTATGGGACTCAGTATCATAGGGGATTGAGTCAGAAGACACAAGTTGTGGAGTTGGACCTGAGGCCCTAGCATAGAGTTCTTTAGGACAGTAACTCCATGAAGAGAAAAATCTCCACTTATATGAGGAAGTTTGTCTCTACCTGGGCTCTTCTCTGAAAAAACCCGGATTTTTTTTTTTTTTGAGATGGATCCTCATTCTGTCACAGGCTGGAGTGCAGTGGTGCGATCTCTGCTCGCTGCAACCTCTACCTCCTGGGTTCAAGCAATTCTCCTGCCTCAGCCTCCCAAGTAGCTGGGATTACAAGTGCGCGCCACTATGCCCAGCTAATTTTTGTATTTTTAGTAGAGATGGGGTTGCACCATGTTGGCCAGGCTGGTGTATTTTTAAGCTTCATATTTTTACTACCTATATTTACTGGAACCCCATACCATCAAACTCCTTGGTTGCCTACCAGAAATAAAGGCAAAGCACTTTGAAGAAACAATCCCACAAGCTGGCCCCATGGGAGTGCCACAGAAAAAGTGCTTCTGAGGGTGATTTTACACTGCAAAGTTATTTAACATATGAGGAAATAATCTAGAGTAACAGCACAAATAACAAACAGAAGGACTAACCCCAAAGAACTTCAGATTATTAGCATTAAAGTTTTATAATTTTAAGATTTTAGAAGCTGGAAAACAGATAGTCTAGTGACAACTGATTTAGCAAACAGGAGAAACCGTACTGTAAAACTGCAGAGAGGAGCACTAGCAAGAGGCTCTCTGCCCCTTCCCTGCTTGGTCTCGAAACACTAACAGCCTGGCTCCTACTCCCTAAATTGGGGGTGGCAGTATACCTCTGGGTAAACTGAGCAGTCGGAAGATGAAGTCATGTGGGGGTGATCCTCAAATGAAAAAATTCATTCCTTATCTTGCCCCCACTCCTCACCTAACTGCCAGTCAACTATTTAATGTGAACAAAAAGCCAGGTATTGGGGGAAAGCCTGTAATATAAAAGAGAGCAAACCAAGCAAACAAACAGAAAAAAGGGAACTCAGAGGAAGCAGAAACAGTGCAGGGAACTGAAGAAAACTTAAAAAGATACCAGTCCCTGGGAGACATGAGGGAAGGTATTTCATCAAAAGATGAGAATAAGTCCTATAAAATGAAATATTCAAAAGAAGAAATAGCTTTTGGAACTTAGAAACAGGATAGCTGGAAAAAATTTTACTTCTTTACCTTTGTTTCCTCACACTCTCTGCCCTGACCAGTGGCAGGCACACTCTGCCCCTGCTATTTACAGTTGCTGTTCCTTCTGTCTGGAATGCTCTGTCTCTAGATATCCACATGCTTTATTCACCTCTTTCATGTCTTTGCTCAAATACGTCTTCTGAGTAAAGTTGTTCCTAACTAACCTATTTGAAATATTTTTAAAAACAGAAAAAAAAATCTATGCATCTTTTTATACCTTCCTTATTTTCCCCACAGTACTTTTTACATCTGACATATGACATACTTTATATATTATTTGCCTGCCCCCACTAGAGTTCCACGAGGGCAAGCGATTTTGTTTGTTCACGACTATATCCTCAGTACCTAAAACAGCACTTGGCTACATAGTAGGCTTTCAATGCATATTTGTTGAATGACTGGATGAAGGGATGTGATTTGAAGAAATCTCTTAGATAATAAGCAATGGAAAATGAGAGAAAAAATAAGAAACTTATAGGATTAGTTCAGGAAGTCTAACATATGATTAATCCCAGAAAAAGAGAATAGAACAAATGGAAGGGAATAAATGATAAGAGAAATAATGCAAAAATAATGTTCTCAGAACTAGAAGTATATTAGTTTCCGGATTGAAAGCCCTCATGTAGTGCCCAGCACAGTTGTTGTAAAAGAAAGATAAAGTAACTTATACCAATGCACAATTTAGTGACATTTCAGAACACCAGGGAGATAAACAAGAGAGAAGAAAAAACAGGTCTCACACATACTAGATTGCTTTCAGAATAGGTTCAGATTTCTAAATAACAACATTGAAAACTAGAATTCTAGACCCAGAATTCTGTGTTCATCCAGTTGAAGTTATGAGTGCCAAATAGACATGCTCAGACATTCAGAGTCTCAAAGGTATTACCTCCAGTTATACCTGTTTCAGAAATCTCTATCCAATCCAAGATAGTAAAGCTAGAAAGAAGGGCATAGGATCTTAATCCAGGGAAACCATGGAATCTTAACACAAAGAAAGGTAAAAGGAGACCCAGGATTACAGTTGTGCAGCAACCTAGAAAATAGCCAGTCCTAGTTGGAGCAGGTGGATAGAGGACTCTAGGGAACATTTCCATAGGGAAAAAAAAAAGGAACGCATAAGAGTATCTGCTAACTGACTGAATCGAGATGAATTTTTCAGCTCTGGAGGGGAGTTTAGGGTTGAATTAAACTATACGTAAGATCTGAAACACTAAATATAAAAAAAGAAATGTAAGTTATAACACACACATCGGCTCCCTTATAAAGTATATTTATATGACCCTAGTGACATATATATTAAATATTGGTTACGCAAAAAATTGTTAAAACTATACTGAAAGTAAGAGAGGAGGGGTAATTTGTATAGCAGGTTGGTGTAAATAAATTATTTACCTTTCATGGTAGCATGTCAGTAGGTTATGTCTAACATGGACAAAATCAGGTTATAGCAAATTAGCATGTTACTAAGAAATATAAAGCATATTAGGATATAGGCTAGGTTAGTATAACAACACACCCAAAATACAATGGTTTTAAAAAGATGGTCTAGGAAGGTGTGAGGGATTGACTCCTTCCATCTTTTTGGCTCTGCCATTCCTAGGGTATTGCCATTATCCATGTTGTTAGACATGGCCCCCTTGTCCATGTCCCAGCTAACAAGAAGGAGAAAGAAAAAAACAAGAAGGCATGCTTCTTTTCCATTACAGATAAGACCCAGAAATTGCATGTCACTTCTGTTCACGTTCCGTTAGGCCAGAAACTAGTCACATAGCCATTCCTACCTTAGGTTTTCCCTAAAATGTTAGATATTTTGCACGTCACACAAAATTATTTAATCTACTTGAACTTGATAGTTTGTTTTTTAGAACTTGCTTACAAACAAAATCCTTTCTTACCCTCATGTAATAAAACACATGAAATAATGAAGGAAATGTATCTTAAAATGAGAAACTCCTGCACCATAATAATAAAAAGATAACATAATTTAAAAATAAAGACCCTGAATAGACATTTCTCCAAAGAAAATGTACAAATGGCCAACAAGCACATGAAAAAGATGCCCAATATCATTAGCCATTAGGGAAATGCAAACTAGAATCAAAGTCACATACCATTTCACACTCACTAAGATGGCTATAATCAAAAAGATAAGGCTGGGTGCTGTGGCTCACGCCTGTAATCCCAGCACTTTGGGAGGCCAAGGTGAGAAGATCGCTTGAGCCCAGGAGTTTGAGACCAGCCTGGACAACATAGCAAGACCCTCTGTCTACAAAAAAATAAAAAATTACCCAGGCACAGTGGTGCATCCCTGTAGTCCCAACTATTCGGGAGACCAAGGTGGGAGGATTGCTTGAGCCTAGGAGTTTGAGGTTGCAATGAGCTGTGATTGTGCCACTGCACTCCATCCTCAGCAACAGAGCAAGGAGTGTCTTAGGAAAAAAAACAGAAAAAGGTAATAACAAGTGTGGGTGAGAAATTGAAAGCCACACATACTTCTGATGGGAATGGAAAATGATGGAGCCACGTTGGAAAACAGTCCAACAGTTTCTCAACTGGAGGAGAGTTTGGGGTTGAACATAGAGCTAGCTATCATATGACCCAATAATTCCAGTTCTAGGTGTATCCCCAAGAGAAATGAAAACCTGTCCATACAAAAAATTTGTACATGAATGTTCACAAAAACATTATCACAAATAGCTGAAAAGTAGAAACTACCCATACGTCCATCAGCTGATGAATAGATATATAAAAGGACATATACCACTATGAAGGACTATTATTAGGCAATAAAAAGGAATAAAGTACTGATAAATAATTCAACATGGTTGAACCCTGAAAACATGCTAAGCCAAAGAAGAAGCCGAGTCACATATGACCACATATTGTATGATTCCATTTATAGGAAATGTCCAAAAAAGGCAAATTCATTGAGACAAAAAATAAATTGGTAGATGCCTCAGACTTAGGGGTATTGGAAAAATGGGGAGTGACTGGTAATGGGAATGGAGTTTTTTGGGAGGTGATGAGAATATTCTAAAATTGGTTGTGACAGTGGTTGCACAATTCTGTGAATATACTAAAAATCATTGAATTGTGTGCCTTAAATGAGTTAATTGCGTGTTGTGTAAATTATAGCTCAAGAAAGCCATTATTATAAATAGTATGTGAGATAACATTTTACACCATAGGTTTGCAAAAATTAAAAACTATGATATTGTTTTTCAGTGAGGATGCAGAAGAGCAAAACCAATGTTACAACCTCTTTGGAGAGCAGTTTGTCAATACCTAGTGATATAAGTTACGCAGACCTTATGATCCTGAAATTTCACTCTAGTATTTATCCTGAAGAAACTGTGACATGTGTACAAAAGAGGAAATACCAAAAATAGTTTATTATAGCACTGTAGTTATCAAAAGACCTACCAGTAGGGGAATAGAAATCCACTGCAGATTATTTATATAATATAATACTCTTAACAGCAGTTAAAATGAATGAATCAAACCTACATGTATCAATGTGGTTAAATCTCAAACATAATATTGAGTGGAAAAAGTAAGTTGAAAAAGTTTGTACAATTGTCCCTTGGTATGTGTGGGGGATTGGTTCCATGACCTCCCACTGATACTAAAATCTGAGTATGCTCAAGTCCCTGATATAAAATGGTGTAGTAGCCAGGGGCAGTGGTGCATGTCTGTAATCCCAGCTACCTGGAAGGCTGAGGCTAGAAGATTGCTTGAATTTAGGAGTTTAGGGCTAGCCTGGGCAACATAGCAAGATCCCTGTCTCTTAAAATAAAATAAAACAAGCAAAATTTAAAAATAAGATAAAATGTCATAGTATTTGCTTATAATTGATCCTGTCATGTACTTTTTTAAGAGAGGGTCTCACTCTGTCACCCAGGCTGGAGTGCAGTTGCGGGATCTCGGCTCACTGCAACCTCTGCCTCCCAGGTCCAAGCAATTATTGTACCTCAGCCTCCTGAGTAGCTGAGATTACAGACATGTGCCACCACGCCCGGCTAATTTTTGTATTTTTATTAGAGATAGGATTTCACCATGTTGGCCAGGCTGGTCTCCAACTCCTGACCTCAGATGATCTGCCCATCTGATCATCTTCCCAAAGTGCTGGGATTACAGACGTGAGCCACCTTGCCTGGCCCATGTACTTTTAAATAATCTCTACATTACCTATTAAAATACTTACTACAATGTAAAGGCTATGTAAATAGTTGTTGTACTGTATTGTTTAGGGAATAATGATGAAAAAATCTATATGTATTCAGCACAGACACAATTCATTTTCAAATATTTTTGATCTGTGGTCAGTAGAATCCATGGATGTGGAGGACTAATGGTATATATAACTATACATTTATGTAAACCTTAAAACATGAAACAATAACATTGTTTATATATATGTTTATATATATAACAATATATTGTTTATGAAATCATACATATGTAGTAAAAGTATAAAAAAATGCTTAAAATGATTATGGCAACCTCAGAATAATGGTTACTTCTGAAAAAAGGGACAGAGGAGGGAGGGCAGGGCTTTCTCTGTATTTGCAACATGTATTTATTTAAAAAGGAAAGATCTGAGGCAAATGACGTTAACATCTGTGAATACCGAATGGTGGCTATATTAATATGTGCTGTATAATTTTCTGTATTTTTTGGAATACTTGAAATCCTTCTTCTTGTTTTTGAGACATGGTCTCATCCTGACACCCAGGCTGGAGTGCAGTGGCACAATTATAGCCCACCGCTGCCTCAAATTCTTGGGCTTAAGCGATCCTCCTACCTCACCCTCCTGAGTAGCTAGGATTACAAGCATGCACCACCACACCTAGCTAATTTTTAAAATTTTTTGTAAAAATAAAGGACTCGCTATGTTGCCCAGGCTGTTCTCAAACTCCTGGCCTCAAGCAGTCCTCCCACCTCTGCCTCCCAAAGCACTGAGATTACAGGCTTGGGGCACTGCACCCAACCCGGAAATACTTCCTGTTTTAAAGTGAAAATATGAATTTCTGTGCTCAATAATACCATATTTGGCTTTTGGTTAACTAGTCTGACAGATCAGAAACTTTTATTATTTAAATATGATTCTGCTTTAAGATGATGGGATATGCAACATCACCTCACAAAAGAACTCCCAATTACTTAGCAGTTTCAGTTTTATCAATCAGAGCATCATGGCACGAATGTGAAATGTTAGTGAGTTCATGCAGGCTCTCAAAAGGAAAAATCATATTTTCATTCTCTCTTCAATGGCACTTGATCAAATCAGAAAAAGAAAGAGAAAACTTGAAATAATTTTTCTTTTACAACTTACCCATTTCTCAAAACTTCTGGTATGGACTTTTTAAAAAGGCAATATATTTATAGCATTTTTCTCATTGTTGAAACACTGGATGTAGTATTCAAATGTTCATGCTACCATGTATTAGTTGTATGTTTTCAGGCACATTACTTAACCTTTGTGATGTTCCATTTTATGATCCATAAAATGAGTATAATTAAGATTAGTGTGAAAGTGCCTAGATACTGACTAAATGTTATTTGAATTTGAAATTTGGTGGATCTATGTCTTCGTAAACTTGACTTTATGGAAATAAGCTCTTTTCAGATATGTGATTTTTTTAAGTTTCTTTATTATAGAGAAATCAACAACTGATGACGATGTACAGAAATCAGACATCTCATCAAGTAGTCAAGGAGTGATAGAAAAGGAATCCTTGGGACCTCTTCTTTTGGAGGTAGGTGTCTTCATTGACTCAGAAAGTGATTAAAATCTTTGTTGTAGCCAGTTTGGTTTTTTCTTTTTTAAATGCCTTATATCCAGTTAATAAATTATAAAACAAAGTAAAGAACTTTTTATAATTATTTTATTATGAGAACTATTTGACAGTTGTTACTGTTTCAGAATCAAAAGTGAATAATGAACATGAGAAATTTTCATGAAGGCATTCTAAGCAGTGAGATGGAAAACTTGAAGCTTATTATATGGCTTTGCCTTTTATTTCTGTGGTGGTTAGGCCTAGTTGGGAAAATAAAATATTAATATTAGATTTACTTAGCTAGCTAGTGTTATCTATATGTATACCATAGAATTTTACTTTTGAATGAAGGATCCCACAGTTTATTGCAGTACGTGATTTTCTGCAGTTTTCTGAATAAAAATGTTTAAATTGTTTATATAAACATTCTAAGAGAATTACTATTTTAACTGTCAAACTTTGTAATGTGAAGAACTTTTAAATTTGAATGGCTTTGTAATTACTGTGTAATTTTCACCCCTGCATTTTCTATCTAATCTTTACTCCCTGCATTCTCAATATAGATGTCTTGTTTCCAAGCATCCTCATTACTTTAAATGCTTTCTCTCCTACATGAATGTTTAAAGACATATGTATGTATGTGTGTGTGTGTGTGTGTGTGTGTGTGTATATATTTCTATCTCTAGGTCTAATTATATATACTTATTTATGGCCCTTGGGTACCCCTTTTTTTTTTTTTGAGACGGAGTCTCGCTTTGTGGCCCATGCTGGAGTGCAGTGGTGTGGTCTCGGTTCACTGCAAGCTCCGCCTCCCCGGTTCATGACATTCTCCTGCCTCAGCCTCCTGAGTAGCTGGGACTACAGGCGCCTGCTACCACGCCTGGCTAATTTTTTTGTATTTTTAGTAGAGACGGTGTTTCACCGTGTTAGCCAGGATGGTCTCGATCTCCTGACGTCGTGATCCGCCCACCTCGGCCTCCCAAAGTGCTGGGATTACAGGCGTGAGCCACTGCGCCCGGCCTATTTCTCTTTTTAAAAATATAAAATAAAGGTAGCACGGGTAAAGAATGAAGGTACTAGAAGAAATTTTCGCACATCTAATGAGAGGGTAATATTATAATGTATTTATTCAACAAAGATTTGTTGAATACCTACAGTGTGTTAGACACTGGATATCTACATCATGGAATTATTTTAAAAATTAAGTGACACAATTTCTTAGCAGAGTACTTTATACATAGTTAGTACTCATTAAGTCCAGTATGGGCATTTTTTTTTAAGCTCATTTCCTCCCTTTGCTGTCTAAAATTCCTCTGCCTGCTGGTCAGAGTTCTGCATTATCTGACTCTAACCCTCCTGTTTCCATTGGTCCATAAGAAAACTGCTTCAGAGAGGTCTCACTATATCTTGCACATGCATTCTAGCTTCCTTAACTTGCTTTGCACCATTCCCTACATTTCTTTGTGGCTTTTGACACTTACTGACCACTCATTCCCACTACCTTACACATTCCATGGCCCCTTTCACAGTGTTCTTTCTCTACCCCTCTGGTTACTCCTCAGCCTTTTTCTCAGATTTCTTTCCTTAATTGCCTCTTAAATGTTAGTATCCCCTGGGAGTCTAGCCTTGGCTCTTTCCCTTTTTTAATTCTGTGCACATTTACTGGGAAGGTTTATCTGTGTCTTTGTCTATATAACATATACACATATATGTGAATTACATATATGAAATCAGTTGCATTTCTCTGATTTGAAGCAATAGAAATCAACTCTGACTAAGCAAATATGAATTTATTGGAATGCTATTTGGATATCATAGAACCATGCTTGGAAATGGGATGAAATCAAAATATCTTAAGGAGGCTAGAAACCAAAAGCTTTGTTAATGGTCTCTTAGAAAGAACCATCTGGGCAGTGCCCTGCTGCTAGAATGAGTGTACTCCTGCTATGTTTAGCTTTTTGTAATTATTCTCAAGATTCACATTTGAGGAGGAAGTCTCCCAATGGCCTGATTAAGAATCCCATAAGGCTTTGTGTAGTGGGGAAGAAAATTTCCCAGAGGAAATCCGAGTATTCTTTACTAGGGGAAAAGATGATCGTAGTTAAAAACAAATAAACAGTCCGGGCGCGGTGCATCACGCCTATAATCCCAGCACTTTGGGAAGCCAAGGCGGGTGGATCACTTGAGGTCAGGAGTTCAAGAGCAGCCTGGCCAAGATGGCAAAATCCCATCTCTACTAAAAATATAAAAATTAGCCAGGCATGGTGGTGAGCGCCTGTAATCCCAGCTACTCAGGAGGCTGAGGCAGGAGAATCACGTGAACCTGTGAGGCAGAGGTTGCAGTGAGCTGAGATTGCACCATTGCACTCCAGCCTGCGCAACAGAGTGAGACTCTGTCTCAAAATAAATAAATTAATAAATAAGTAAAAAATAAACAAGAGACCCAAATGATTACTATATGTACCTGTGAATCACAAAGGTCTATCCTTAGCCCAGATCTGTCTTCCAAGCTTCTCTTTCAATACATCCTGCTGCCTTTTAAAGATTTCCAATTTTCCTAGAGTGGCCTCACTTTGGAGGTTGGAGGTATTTTGGGGTTTCTCAGCAGACTTCTGTGGCAGTGGGGTCACCTCAAGTTTTGGAACAGCAATGAAAAATGACCAGTGCTATGATAACATCCAGTTTACTCATGTGACCTGGGATAGTTCCTTTTGTACTATCCGTCCCAGATTTGTTGCCATAATCATAGACATGACTTGGGGAGGAGAGTTGCTTGTGCTCCCTTTTCATAAGCATTCTGGAAAGAAATCAAAACTTGGATGTGGTGCTCACTTTGGCAGCACATATACTAAAATAGGAACAATACAGAGAAGATTATCATGGCCTCTGCACAAAGATGACACATAAATTTGTGAAGTATTTCATATTTTTCAGCTGAACCCAACTTATACCACAGGCAAAACCAAGGGCATCAAAGAATATAAAAGCAAAAAGCTCCATTGAAAGGACAGCACCTTTGAACATTAAAGGAGCATCAGATGCGAAAGAACCAGTAAGAACTCTGGAAACGCAAAAAGCCAGAGTGTTTTCTTAACCTCCAAACAACTGCACTAACTCCCCAGCCATGGTTTGTAACCAGGCTGAAATGACTCAAATGACAGACTAAGAATTCAGAATCTGGATGGCAACAAAGATCATTGAGATTCAGGAGAAAGTTGAAACCCAATCCAAGGAATCTTAGGAATCCAGTAAAATGATATTAGAGATTAAAGATAAAACAGGTATTTTAAGAAAGAACCAAACTGATCTGATAAAACTGAAAAACTCACTACAAGAAAAATTTCATAATTGGAAATATTAATGACAGAATCGACCAAGCTGAGGAAGGAATCTCAGAGCTCGAAGACCAGTTAACTGGTCAACTCAGAAATAAAGAAAAAAGAATAAAAAAGAATGAACAAAACCTCTGAGAAATATGTGATTATGTAAAGAGACTAAACCTACAGCTGGTATCCCTGACAAACAGGGAGAGTATATTAGTCAGTTTTCACACTGCTATAAAGAATACCTGATTTGGGGCCAGGCATGGTGGCTCACACCTGTAATCCCAGCACTTTGGGAGGCCACGGCAGGCGGATCACTTGAGGTCAGGAGTTTGAGACCAGCCTGGCCAACATGGTGAAACCCCGTCTCAACTAAAAATACAAAAATCAGCCTGGCATGGTGGCACATGCCTGTAATCCCAGCTACTCAGGAGGCTGACACAGGAGAATCTCTTGAACCCGGGAGGCAGAGGTTCCAGTGAGCCAAGATCACGCCACTGCACTCCAGCCTGGGTGACAGAGCAAGACCCTGTCTCAAAAACAAAAAAACAAACAAACAAAAAAAACAAACCTGAGACTGGGTAATTTATAAAGGAAAGAGGGATGTTTTTGTTTGGTTGGTTGGTTTTGTTTTTTGAGAGAGTCTTGGTCTGTCACCCAGGCTGGAATGCAGTGACACAATCTCGGATTACTGTAACCTCCACCTCTTGGGTTTAAGCAATTCTTGTGCCTCAGCCTCCCAAGTACCTGGGACTACAGGCATGTACCACCATGCCCGGCTAATTTTTGTATTTTTAGTAGAAATGGGGTTTCGCCATGTTGGCCAGTCTGGTCTCGAACTCCTGGCCTCACATGATCCACCCCGGTTGGCCTCCCAAAGTGCTGGGATTACAGGCATAAGTTACCATGCCTGGCTGGAAAGAGGTTTAATTGACTTACAGTTCCACATGGCTAGGGAAGCCTCAGGAAATTTACAATTACAGCAGAAGGCAAAGGAGAAGCAAGTATGTTCTTCACCAGGCGGCAGGAAAGAGAAAGAGTGAGAGAATGAGGATGTGCCACACTTTTTTTTTTCTTCAACTTTTAAGTTCCGGGGTACATGTGTAGGATGTGCAGGTTTGTTACATAGCTAAATGTGTGCCATGGTAGTTTGCTGCATAGATCAACCCATCACCTAGGTATTAAGCCCAGCATCCATTAGCTATTCTTCCTCATACTCCCCCTCCTGCCACCCCTGCCCCCAACAGGCCTCAGTGTGTGTTGTTCCCTCTGCCATGTGTCCATGTGTTCTCATTGTTCAGCTCCCACTTATAAGTGAGAACATGCAGCATTTGGTTTGATGTTCCTGCATTAATTTGCTGAGAATAACAGCTTCCAACTCCATCCATGTCCCTGCAAAGGACCATGATCTCATCCCTTTTTATGGCTACATAGTATTCCATGGTGTATATGTACCACATTTTCTTTATCCAGTCTATCATTGATGGGCATTTAGGTTGATTCCAGGCCTTTGCTATTGTGAATAGTGCTGTGATGAACATACATGTGCATGTATCTTTATAACAGAATGATTTATGTCTCTTTGGATATATACTCAGTAATGGGATTGCTGGGTCATATGGTATTTCTGCCTCTAAATCTTTGAGGAATCACCACACTGCCTTCCACAATGGTTAAACTAATTTATACTCCCACCAACAGTGTAAAAGCATTCCTTTTTCTCTGCAACCTTGCCAGCATCTATTGTTTTTTGACTTTTTAATAATCACCACTCTGACTGGCATGAAATGGTATCTCATTGTGGTTTTGATTTGCATCTCTCTAATGATCAGTGATGTTGAGCTTTTGATATGTTTGTTGGCTGCATGAATGTTTTCTTTTGAGAAGTGTCTGTTCATGCCATTTGCCTGCTTTTTAATGGGGTTGTTTGGTTTTTTCTTGTAAATTTGTTTAAGTTCCTTGTAGACTGGATATTAGACCTTTGTCAGATGGATAGATTGCAAAAATTTTATCCCATTCTTTAGGTTGTTCACTCTGATGATAGTTTCTTTTGCTGTGCAGAAGCTCTTGAGTTTAATTAGATCCTATTTGTTAATTTTTGCTTTTGTTGCAGTTGCTTTTGGCATTTTCATCATGAAATCTCTGCCCGTGCCTATGTACTGAATGGTATTGCCTAGATATTCTTCTAGGGTTTTTATAGTTTTGGGTGATGTCTTTTATTCCCGGAACTTTGTCCCATCACAGTCACTTTGGTAGTCTCATTTAAAGCCAGGGCCCTGTGAGAAGCCTTGGCTAATGTGAACCCTTCCGTGTGACACACGGTGGTCTTCTTCAAAGGATGACATCCTGGGCAGAGTTTGGAAAAGTTCTCAGATTGATTACTGAATGCATAGGCATTTGTTGTCTTCTCTGTATGCAGTACAACATAAAACCAGCTGTCAGGACTTGGAGGAATAGGAAGATTCCTTTCCAGGAGCACACTTTGAAGTTAATTAGATAAACAACATATGAGGGAAACTTGTAGAACAAGAACAAGTAATAACAGATTATATTAACCAGATATACTTTTAGAAAATAGAGATGCTTCTATATTCATAGGAATAGTCTCAAAAATTATTCCCTGAAATGTTACTAGTCTCTTGAGGGTGGAATTCTGGCAGGTCTTCCACTATCAACCTCATTTTTACATTTTAATCTTTATAAGTATATATTTATAATACAAAGCAAGTTAAATTGTATTTACACTGATGCAAAGAACATTTTTAAAGAAGTTTCAGGTCTATTTTTGAAAAATAAATCTGTTTTTAAATTATTTCTATTTTTATATAAACTTCAAGGTAAGTAAATGGACATTGATCACCTATTATGAGATTTATAGCTAATCTAAGGGGTTTTATAAACCCAATTTAGATATGAGTGTACTTTCCTGTGCTCATCTAAACCCAAAATATTTTAAAAAAGAGTTTATCTAGTGTTGAGATTTTAAAGATTATTAATCACGTCCCTATCTCCTTTGCATTATGGACTAAGTAAGTCACGGCGATCGGGTAGAATAAAAATAGCTTTATTCCTTTTTGTTCTTGCTAAAGAAAATATTAGCAATATTTTAAATGAGAACAATGGGTTGTGCTTCAATCTTGTTTTAAATCTTGGTTATATTCTTTGTGATGGAGTGATAATGGAGATGTATTACTAAATTTCATTTATTTTAATATTTGGTTTAAATAATCTTGTCCATTCATCTGTTGGCAGACACTTAGCTTGATCCTCATATCTTGGCTATTGTGAATAATGCTGCAGTGAACATGGGAGTGCAGACATCTCTTTGACATACTGATTTCATTTCCTTTGGATATATACCCAGTACTGGGATTACTGGATCATATGGTAGTTCTATTTTTAATTTTTTGAGGAACCTCCCTACTACTTCCCATAATAGATGTTCTCTTTTCTTCACATCCTCACCTACGCTTAACAGATATGAAGTGATATCTCATCGTGGTTTTAATTTGCATCAACCTAAGTGTCCAAAAATGGATGAATGGATTAAGAAAATGCTGTGTATACACAGAGCGGAATACTATTCAGCCTTTAAAAAGGAAATCCTGTCATCTGCCACAATATGTATGAACCTAGAAGACATTATGTTAATTAAAAGCCAGACGCAGAAAGACAGATACCACATGATCTCACTTATATGTGGGATCTAAAAAAGTCAAACTCATAGGAGAGAGTAGAATGGTGGTTACCAGGGGCTGCGTGAAGGGTTGGGGGGATTGGAGGGATGTTGGTCAAAAGATGAAAACCTTTCAATTAGATGGGAAGAATAAGTTCAAGAGATCTATTGAACATTATGGTGACTGTAATTAATAACAATTATTTTATACCTGAAAATTGCAAAGAGAGAGCTTTTAAGTGTTTTCACCACAAAAAAAATGATAAGTATATGAGGTAGTGCTTATGTTCATTAGCTTGATTTGGCCATTCTACAATGTATACATATTTGAAAACATATACCATAAATATATATTAGTTTTTCTCAATTAAAAAACAATCATCTTAGCTGAAAAATGCACCTCTCAAAAATAAGGTAGAGGCAAATGGAAAAGTATATCATTGGATGTGTTTACTAAATTACGATAGTCATTTTTAAATCCTACCCACAAACTGTGCAGAGGTTTTTATTGACCTTCCAGTTTCCTTGATTTTAAAAAAAATGATTCTTCCAAACATCAGAAGATGTTGCATTTTCACATAAAAAAAAAAAAAAATAGGGCTGGGCATGGAGGCCCATGCCTGTAATCCCAGCACTTTGGGAGGCCAAGGTAGGTGGATCACCTGAGGTCAGGAGTTTAAGACCAACCTGGCCAACATGGTAAAACCCCATCTCTACTAAAAATACAGAAATCAGCGGGGCATGGTGGCACATGCCTGTAATCCCAGCTACGTGGGAGGCTGAAGCAGGAGTATCACTTGAATCCAGGAAGCAGAGGTTGCAGTGGGCCAAGATTGTGCCACTGCACTCTCTCAAAAAAAAGGAAAAGAAAAAAAGGGCCAAAGCCCACTGAGAATCTAATTGGAAGATTTTTCAACAGAAAATGCTCTAAGATTTTAAACTGATGAGATAAGATAAATTATACAAGCTATTCAGGTCATTTTCAGTATCACGTCATTTTCAGTGTCACGACATTTTCAGTATCACGTCATTTTCAGGAACAAAATTGTAACAGTGGTAACACTTCCAAACATCCATTTTCACATGCTATCTCTATAGCATTAGTGTCTTTTTAAAAAGCAGTTTACTTTTTATTCATTGTTAAAATTTCATCTTAATCCTGAAGGAAAAAAAATTTGTTTACTTTTTGGAGAGTATCTGCTAGACAGCAAACTTGGTACCCTGGCCTTTTTTTTTTTTTTGAGACGGAGTCTTGGAGTCTTGCTCTGTCGCCCAGGCTGGAGTGCAGTGGCGCGATCTCGGCTCACTGCAAGCTCCGCCTCCCGGGTTCACACCGTTCTCCTGCCTCAGCCTCCCAAGTAACTGGGACTACAGGCGTCCGCTACCACACTTGGCTAATTTTTTGTATTTTTAGTAGAGACGGGGTTTCACCATGTTGGCCAGGATGGTCTCCATCTCTTGACCTCGTGATCCACCCGCCTCAGCCTCCCAAAATGCTGGGATTACAGGCGTGAGACACTGCGCCCGGCCCCGTGGCCTTTTTTAAAAGGAAAAATGAGTAACCCGTCAGCATTGTTAGATAGGTCTTTTAATTTCGCCGTAGATAACCAGCAGACCCTGTATGATCCAAAGGATTTTTATGGTCATTTTACATTTTGTTACAAAATTCTGTAAATGTTCTATTTTTTCAGGATCTTGATTTTATTGCTTATATATATTCTGCAGCAAGTAAGCTGCAACATGTTGCAATAAATGAAAAGATTACAAATAAGTAAGGTGCCACAGTCAACCTCTGCATTCTGGCTCTTCCTCGGGATACCAGGGTTTGTGTGATATGTGACTGTCTGCACCGAGTCAGGCACCATAGTGTTAATATGCTTAAGCTTCATGTCTTTATTATGTTTTAGATTACAATATACATAGAGGTTCTAACTTTTCCCGTGCTCCCTTGTGGATATTATATGCCCCGTAGGACGCATATGTCTTCTTTTGGAGACCCCTGGCTCCATCTCAGTGCATAGGAAGCCCCTGTGATTTGGCTCCTGTCCACGTCTGCTGACTCGCCTTGTACCATATACTCCAGCAGCTGCAAACTGCCTGTTCGTTTTCTTTTTGTGCTATGCTCTCTCCACTTCCTGGAATGTTCTTCCTTCAATCCTCTTCCTCCCCAACTATGCCTTTTATATGTTAGGTAGGGGTCTGTACCTTTCTTTGACCCCCACCCTGATCCCAAATTAGGCATCCTTCTGTGTGCTTATGGACTATTTTGTGTATGTCTCTGATCTGCATTTTATCACTGATATTTTATTATGTTTATGTCTCTCTCTCCTGCGTATCACAATTTCCTTGAGGACAGAGACCAGGTCTTGACATATATTTCTGATCTCTTTTTTAATAGAAAAATGTATAGTTTAATTTTTCTTTTATCTTTCAACCTCCAAACCATTTTTTTCTTTTGGTTTTGCAGGCTTTGGATGGATTTTTCTTTGTTGTGAACTGTGAAGGGAGAATTGTATTTGTGTCAGAGAATGTAACCAGCTACTTAGGTTACAATCAGGAGGAATTAATGAATACGAGCGTCTACAGCATACTGCACGTGGGGGATCATGCAGAATTTGTGAAGAATCTGCTACCAAAATCACTAGGTAAACAGAAATGTGTTTTTAAAAAGAATACTAGCTCTCTGTATCTTCTCCTTATATAATATGTATAATATGTGATTATTATATTTATAATACACAGTATTATATATGTTATAATATGTGTTTAAAATATTTTTTCAGTGTGGTTTCAGTCTCAGATATAAATATGAAGGGGAGTTTCATCAAATAGCTGATGGAGAGTATTCCTTTCAGCTTCTTCCTTTATACTGTGTGAATTGTTTTCAATTTTGATTATGTTCAAGAAAGAGACAAATGTGTATCCTTTCCATTACCCTGCTCACAGAAAAAAGAATAGAAATGAGAAAGAGAGGGAGTGAGAAGGAGGGAAGAAGGAAAGAATATATGTCATATATCTACTAAAATTAATGTTTTTAGACTTAAGTGCTTTAACTGAGGAATTCCAAGTATGGTTGGATGGGCTATTCGCTGCTGAGGAGCCTAGCTGAGAGGATGGATGGAGTCTAATTTCTAGTGTCTGTTCTATTCACTGAACCCTGTGCCTTGGGGCAGGGCTGGGACCTTAGGAGTTAGGGGACTTTTTCTAATTCTTGTAAAGGCATGGATGGACTAACAGCAAGCCTTTGTTTACTTCTTGAATTTTCAGGCTCCTCTAAAGTTTTTCAGTGCTCAAGTTCTAGTTACTCCTGGTGATTGCATTGCTACCTTTACATCTGAGTGGGGGTGTTTTTCAATAGTCAGTGTATATTTTGTAGATAAATAAGAAAGTTTTCATATTACATTTCAGATTCCATTCCATTTTAGATTTTTTGTTACTTTTTTTCCCCATAGTTTATTTGTTCAGTGAGCTCTGAAATAAAAGCGATTTAAAATGCAGATAAATTTACCACACATCAGTTTTTCAGACAGATACTGTGTGATAAAGTATCTGAGTTGGAGAGTTAAGACTCTACCATACCGTTTAGTATGGGAACTGAGGCATGTGGTCAGGGAAGTCAAACAATGTAAGATTCCCCTGATGTCACTATAGGTAATACTTAATTAAGATTTCTTTCCTTGGCCATGGACTGTAGATTCTTTTGCTCTACTGTTCACAAATTTTGAGGACTACTGGTGTATGGATTGAACTGAGCTATTGCATTTTATTTTGTATCAAAAAAACTAATTTAATTTTAGTCTCATGTTGGGTAACAAGATATTTGTTGGGTTTAGCAGCCTTCCTGGTTGGAAAGAGGCCTACAGTCACAGAAAACAAGGATGAGCTGTTTTCTGACTCCTGAAGAACGGGCTTATTGTTTGTGGAAGGGCCACATTACCTGTTCTGCCTGGTTCTCAGGATGCTGTAGATCTATGACTATTTGGGTTCCCCCAAATCACTGCCAGTAGATAAATTTGGAGGGAGTGTCATCTACTAGCTTATGTGCTTGCTAGTGGTGCTGCTCCCGGCTGCTTACAAGACAGTGATCCTCAGCTGGCCTGACAATTCATTGTTGCCTCTCTGAGCAGCCTTTCACAATAGGGAGGAATGTGAAGTTTTTGCTACAGAGATATCTTTCTCTCATTCCCCCAATAATGGAAGAACAGAAACATTGAAAAAATACTACTACTTTCTTATACAATAGTGTAGAGAAGCAAAGATAGGGCAAGCTCAGTAATAATAGAATAGATCACCTAATCTTACAGTGTTGGTTGATCATCCATTAGAAACCAATGAGATGGTCCCACCAAAAGAATAAAGGCCAACTACACTAACTTAGAAAAGCCAATAGCTTCTTTCAAGGTATTTCCAAAAAGCATTTAGGAGAAAATAAATTATAGTACCTATATTTAAACCTTTATTATTAGAATAATCAAAGTATTAGAAAATTAAGGAAAGAGACCAAGTAGAATCATTTTATGTGTAATTCATTATCAACCACTGGGGAAAAAAATCAAATCAAGATTCAGAACCTATCAAGAAAGAAATTTGAAGAAAAATTTAGGATCATTATTTATATATATATATTCACCTTATATACATATATCACATATACATGATTCAAAGCACTGCCTTCTTATTTTTTGATTTGTTCTTTCCAAGGAGAAATTTTGAAGAAAAAAGTTAAAGTCAAACTTTTAAAATTGCTTTTGAATTTACAGATTTAGAAGATTTCAGTGTCTAAAATCTGTACTTTTTAAGCATAACATTTTATTTATAAGAAACAAAATCTGAATGCTGGGAAGCTGGTATGGTGAGAAATTTTGTCCAAAAGAACAAGTATACATGGATATACTTATACTTGCACAGATGGTTATAAAAAGATTATATTGTGAAAGGCTAAGATTACAAAGAATGAGATGTTAGTGAACATAGACTTATTTGTGAAATTCTAATAAATTGGAACTTGAAGTTTGAAAAAAAATTTTAAAAAGCAAGTCGTTATAAATTCATACCATTTATATCTCAAATGATGGAGACACGATAGTGCTTAAGAGCATAGCCTTTCTGGTATAAAATAGAAATGGCTGTGTCTGACTCTGCTACTTAATTAGCAGCGTGACCTTGAACAAGACACTTGACCCCCTCTAGGCCTCATCGTTGGTAGGAAGGTTAAAGGGTAAGTGTTGCTTAGCATATTTCCTGGCTGGTATTAAATTCTTTTTGTTTTAGCTGTTATTATTCCTGTGACTGGCTTTATCTAAATGTTTTGGAGCTTTTAATTTCTGAATGATAGATCTACAATTATTATTAACAACTACTAGCTGGTTTTGATTATGCTTTTATCTTAGAAATCAATGTGAAGGAAGGACAATCTTGTCCTTTCATAGTGTGCTCTTAGAAGCACATAGAAATTATTCTGTAGAAATTGAGGCAAATTTTTTTATAGATCACATTCAGTAGGATAGTTCCGTTTTTCTTATTTCTTTATATTTTGAGACAGAGTTTCACTCTTGTCACCCAGGCTGGAGTGCGATGGCATGATCTCAGCTCACTGCAACCTCCGCCTCCTGGGTTCAAGCAATTTTCCTGCCTCAGCCTCCTGAGTAGCTGGGATTACATGTGCCCACCACCACGCCCAGCTAATCTTTGTATTTTTAGTAGAGACAGGGGTTTCACCATGTTGGCCAGGCTGGTCTCGATCTCCTGATCTCAGGTGATCTGCCTGCCTCAGCCTCTCAAAGTGCTGGGATTACAGGAGTCAGCCACCACGCCTGACCCTGTTCTTCTTTTTTGAATTGTAGCTAAACTGCTACTTCTTCCTGTACAGGGGGCTTTTGTTAGTAATTTTTTAATACTTTGGGTTTGTTTTACTAGGTTTTTTAAACATTATCAGGGGCATTTATCCTTTTAAAGAGGAATCATATGGTGAGTTAAGAAAGGACTTGCATGAAGATTAGGCATGCTGCTTTCTAGCTAGATAATGTAAACTACCTCCTCCCACACACAAAATACTGAATTTTGTCAGAAGCTTTGTACCTCTAGTATAGATCTATCCTCTTATTTCCATTCCACAGAGTATTCAGGACCTTATGTGAGTGATGCTGTTGTCTTTTTGCATAAATATGTAGCTCAGTGCCTACTGTTTAAAAGAAGATTTAGGTTCAAAAAAGTTTTGTCATGGTAACCTATTAGTAGTTCAGTTAACTTAAAAAAATCGAATTAATCTTGTGAAATCAGGGTATCTAGAAAGATCACCTAAAATATTTAGCAGCTTATATTTGAGGGGCCTATAAGTTTGGAATTGAACTTGCTGTTAATTATTGTTGTTGTTTTAAGAAGATAATGATAGTTGACATGTAAATTATTACCAGAATGACTTTAGTTTCTTTAGTTTTGGTGATTATTTTTCAACTTTTTTTTTTCACATCTCAGAAAGTGTTTTGTACAACTTAGATATACTGACCACCATAACAGGTCATGAAATTAAACTTCAAGGAAGCGCCTTTCTCCTCTTCATCACTGTATGCTCTTCTCTTGGCTCCTTATTTCCTAACCATTCCTCCTTAATTCCTAACCGTAATTCCTACCTACCTTAATTAAGGTAGGAATTGGCCTACCTTAATTCCTAACCATTCCTCCACCTCTTTTCCTTTTCTCTACCTTCTTTCCTTTTACCTGAACTGAGTGTGATTAGATATTTAGCTCTTCTTCTAGTAACATTCCGCAAGTAGCTTTCTTTGTAGACACCTTCAGAAAGCTGAAACTGTCCCTGATAACCGAATAGATCAGGATAAACATTATCTAAGCCAAGCTATAAACAAAAATGTAAAGCCTTTTTTTTTTTAACTTTTATTTTAGATTCAGTGGTACATGTGCAAGGTTTGTTATATAGGTAAACTCATGTCATGGGGGTTTGTTGTACAGATTATTTCATCACCCAGTGTATTAGTCCATTTTCACACTGCGATAAAGAACTTCCCTGAGACTGGGGTAATTTATAAAGGAAAGAGGTTTAATTGACTCACAGTTCCACATGGCTGGGGAGGCCTCAGAAAACTTACAATCATGAGAGAAGAGGAAGCAATTGCCTTCTTCACAAGGAGGCAGGAGAGAGAGAGAGCAAAGGAGGAACTTCCAGACGCTTATAAAACCATCAGATCTCTTGAGAACTCACCATCACGAGAACAGCATGGGGGGAGCTGCCCCCATGATCCATTCACCTCTCTCCCTCAACACATGTGGATTACAGGTCCCTCCCTCGACATGTGGGGATTACAGTTTGAGATGAGATTTGGGTGGCAACACAGAGCCAAACCATATCAACCAAGGTACTAAGGCTAGCACCCAATAGTTATTTTTTCTGATCCTCTTACTCCTGCCAGCCTCCACCCTCAATTAGGCCCCAGTGTCTGTTCTTCCCCTCTTTGTGTCTATGAGTTCTCATCATTTAGCTCACACTCATAAGTGAGAACATGCAGTGTTTGGTTTTCTGTTCCTGCGTTAGTTTGCTAAGGATGATGGCCTCCATTTCCATCCATGTTCCTGCAGAGGACATGGTCTCATTCTTTTTATGGCTGTTATAGTATTCCATGGTGTGTATGTACTACATTTTCTTTATCCAGTCTGCCTTGATGGTCATTGAGGTTGACTCCATGTCTTTGCTATTGTGAATACTGTGGCAATGAACATACACTTGCATCTGTCTTTATGGTGGAATGATTTATATTCCTTTGGGTATATATCCAGTAATGAGATATTTGGGTTAAATAGTAGTTCTGTTTAGCTCTTTGAGGAATTACCACACTGCTTTCCACAATGGTTGAACTAATTTACACTCCCACCAACAGTGTATAAGCATTCCCGTTTGCCCACAGCCTTGCCAGCATCTGTTATTTTTTGATGTTTTAATGATAGCTATTCTGACTGGTGTGAGATAGTATCTCATTGTGGTTTTGATGTGCATTTCTCTAATAATCAGTGATATTGAGCTTTTTTTCACATGCTTGTTGGCCATATGTGTGTCTTCTTTTGAAAAGTGTCTGTTGATGTCCTTTGCCCACTTTTTAATGGGGTTGTTTTTTCCTTGTAAATTTGTTTAAGTTCCTTATGAATACTGGATATTAGACTTTTGTCAGATGCATGGTTTGCAAATATTTTCTCCGATTCTGTAGGTTGCCTGTTTACTCTCTTGACAGTTTCTTTTGCTGTGCAGATGATCTTATATTTAGGTCCCATTTGTCAATTTTTGCTTTTGTTTTGATCACTTTTGGCATCTTCATCATGAAATCTTTGCCCATTCCTATGTCCAGAGTGGTATTGCCTAAGTTGTCTTCCAAAGTTTTTTATAGTTTTGGGTTTTACATTTAAGTCTTTAATCCATCTTGAGTTGATTTTTGTATATGGTGTAAGAAAGAGGTCCAGTTTTAATCTTCTGCATATGGCTATCCAGTTATCACAGCACCATTTATTGACTAGGGAGTCCTTTCCCCATTGCTTGTTTTTGTCAGCTTTGTCAAAGATCAGATGGCTGTAGGTGTGCCGCCCTATTTCTAGGCTCGGTATTCTATTTTGGTACCATACTGTTTTTGTTACTGTACCCCTGTAATATAGTTTGAAGTTAGATAACATGATGCCCCCAGCTTTGTTCTTTTTGCTTAGGATCGCCTTGGCTATTTGGGCTCTTTTTTGGTTCCATATGAATTTTGAAATAATTTCTTCCAGTTCTGTGAAAAATGTCATTGGTAGTTTGATAGGAATAGCATTGAATCTGTAAATTGCTTTGGGCAGTATGGCCATTTTAATGATATTTATTCCTCCTATTCATGAGCATGGGATGTTTTTCTATGTGTTTGTGTCATCTCTGATTTCTTTGAGTAGTGTTAACGAATCCTTTTTTTTTTTGAGATGGAGTCTCACTCTGTCACCCAGGCTGGAGTGCAGTGGTGCAATCTTGGCTCACTGCAAGCTCCGCCTCCCAGGCTCCCAAGTAGCTGGGACAACTACTTGGTAGGTGCCCGCCACCACACCTGGCTAATTTTCTGTAATTTTAGTAGAGACAGGGTTTCACTGTGTTAGCCAGGATGGTCTCGATCTCTGACCTCATGATCTGCCCGCCTCAGCCTCCCAAAGTGCTGGGATTACAGGCGTGAGCCGCCACGCGTGGCACAAATCCATTTTTTTATCATAGGGTCTATTTACTTTAGTTGGAGAGTTTTCCTAATAATTAGACAACTTAATCCATTTATTCAGTACATGAGAAGAGAGCTCTAAAAATGAATGGATATGCTAATTTTTACATTCATTTTTCTTTTTTTCCTCCCTTTCCTTCCACTCTTTAGCCTATATATGCTCCAAAAGTGGAGGGGAGGACCTTGGACAGAAATCCTATATAACTAAACCAGACATGCATATAAAAATGTTATTCATAGCTCTTCATTTTCCACATTGTTCCCCCAACAGAATAGAAACTTCATTTCCTTTTGAAAATAGTCATATATGTTTGTTGTAACTGGGGACTTGAAATGATTCTTTCTATTAAAATCACTACTGATATTTGAATCAAGTATCAAGGTATCTTATGTATTTTATTTTGAAATTTTAAAGTATAAATGACTTTAGAGATAAGGTAGTAGATTCTTTTATTTTAAAAAATGAGACAATGAGCATCAAAGATTAACCCAAACCTTAGAACTTGCTAATAGCAGAACCCAGGACTTCTTACTCCAGTATAGGTTTGTTTCCATGATTTCCTCTAACACTTAATAAAGGATGAGATGGAAAAAAGGAAGGAGGGTCATTGGAGAGTTTAAGGTAGGAAAACGTTTGGGAACAGTAAAAAAGCAGCCTTGGCCAGGCGTGGTGGCTCACACCTGTAATCTCAGCATTTTGGGAGGCCGAGATGGGTGGATCATGAGGTCAGGAGTACGAGACCAGCCTGGCCAACATGGTGAAACCCTGTCTGTACTAAAAATAAAAAATTAGCCCAGCGTGGTGGCACACACCTATAATCCCAGCTACTCAGGAGACTGAGGCAGGAGAATCACTTTAATCCAGGAGGCGCAGGTTGTGGTGAGCCGAGATCACACCATTGCACTCCAGCATGGGTGACAAAGTGAGATTCCATCTCAAAAAAAAAAAAAAAAAAAAAAAAAAAGGCAGTGTTAAAAACCCTCTGATCATCTCATGACCACGTGATTTAAACATGACACTGTGACTGGGAAATTATGAGCTACCACACGTGGTTTTTACTTGAAATAGATACCTTTTCAACAACTGAATTCATTTTTCCTATACTGGATCAGGTAACATTTATTTTTTAGCAGTCTTTTTTTACATAATAATATTGATTATCCACTATATCCAAGGTATTGTAGCATATGAACTGTGCTAGTTAAGTAAAATAAAGCAAAAGGAAAAAATGGTTATGAGAAATTGAGATTGCGCTATATTCTTAATACTTTTTTTGAGTGACAGACTCTGAGAAAATTGAAATCTTCTTCCCCAGAAAGGTGCACATCCACACAAAAGCCAACCTTAAGAATCCGTGATTGCCAAGTTAAAACCCCACTTACCAATGTACCTGTGGTTTTGAATCATTTTTTCATTGTCAAAGTATAACTGGAAACCAACTGAAAAACTCATTAACTGCTGTAAAATTCTGAGCAAAATGGCTAGTAAGTTTTAATTTTTAATTTTTGCCTTTGATTATAGTATTTGAGGGGAAGATCATACGTATTTTCTTGGAAATGTTACAGTTTTCTAATTGGTAGACATTTAGATTTGCTAGGGAGATAAGTATTCTATTGCCTCAGGATAATGTTAGATCTGAAGAGGTCAGTCTGTCTTTTAATCTGAGTATCTAATTAAGCAGATGGCTTAAAGTACATCTTTTGTATCTTCAGAGTTTGTGCTTTTTCACCATATTCGCAAGCACATAATCAATTTTTCTTCCTCAGTAAATGGAGTTCCTTGGCCTCAAGAGGCAACACGACGAAATAGCCATACCTTTAACTGCAGGATGCTAATTCACCCTCCAGATGAGCCAGGGACCGAGAACCAAGAAGCTTGCCAGCGTTATGAAGTAATGCAGTGTTTCACTGTGTCACAGCCAAAATCAATTCAAGAGGATGGAGAAGGTAAAGCCAAACGGTCTTTTTAAAGTGTTTATTTCTTCTGTGACTTTAAGGAAAAGAGAGGAAATTAATTATAAACTGCCTTTTTCAGATAGTATTTTTGGTTACTATAATATGTATCATAGTGGCTATTCCATTTGCTATATATTCTTAATACTTAAAAAACAATAATTACTAACATCTAGAATCATTCCTTTAATATGCCCCCCAGATTCTCAGTTTTAAGCTGGCATTCCCACTAAAATGTCAAATAATTCAAACCAACTTGCTGTCTAGAAATAAGAGATGTAACTAACTGCTGCCAGTTGGAAATGTACCAGATGCAGCAGACTGTTGAACAGCTCTGATTTTTAGAAAGTTTCAAGTTTAGAGTGTAGGGAACATTGGAGAATAGAGTTGGCATTTTTCAGGCTATACAAGGTAATTTATAAGGAGAAAACTTAAGAACAGATGGAAACATGCTGAAGCTCTAATATGAACATGGTGTCAACATGGAATTAGTTAAATATGTGACAGTGGATGAGTTTTCCATGTAAACTTAGACTGGGCTAAGTTTAGAAAATCACAAATTGGGAACTGGAGTAAGGACAAGGGAAGGTAGTAGACAAGAAGTCAGTCAGATGCAAGAAAGCCATGTATGTAGCAGGTCTCACCAGGAAACGGAGGTAACAATCAACTGGAGACTTTTTACAAAATACACATGCCAAATCTTACTTGATTAAAGTTCATTTTTAGCTGTGTGATATTGTGTTTAACATCCTCAAAACAAAACTTGGGAATGGGACTTTGAAAAAATTGTATATCCTAAAAACATGAAGTCATCTGTCAAGAGCAAAATAGTGCTTCAGAGTTAAAGGTTGTTTTTCTCATATAATTATCTACACTGTGGTTATAAGAATAATCTTTTTAGCCATTAAGTACTGGTGAATATAAGAAATTGACTACAAAACTGTATTTTAAAAAACACTGTGCCACTTATATCTAACCAAAACTACTACTTGTAGTTGTTATCATCCAGTACATGAGATGCATCTCTCTCCTCTGGTATATATAAGAGCATTCAATAGGAAGGAATGGTTTATGCCAACTAACTCTCTACCTGGAGCTGTCAGTTTTTGGTTGCCAGCAATTTTATTTCTAATACACTATTAGATAAGAATGATTTCAGTATTATGCAATATTATGTCAGGTGCTGTAACACGTTTTTGTTTTTGTTTTTTTGAGACGGAGTCTCGCTCTGTGGCCCAGGCTGGACTGCAGTGGCGTGATCTCGGCTCACTGCAAGCTCCACCTCCCGGGTTCACGCCATTCTCCTGCCTCAGCCTCCCGAGTAGCGGGGACTGCAGGCGCCCGCCACCATGCCCGGCTAATTTTTTTGTGTTTTTTAGTAGATACAGGGTTTCACCGTGTTAGCCAGCATGGTCTCGATCTTGTGATCCACCCACCTCGGCCTCCCAAAGTGCTGGGATTACAGGCGTGAGCCACCACGTCTGGCCAACATGTATTGTTTTTATGAAAACCATTAATGGCGAGTGATAGATATAAACCATTTTCTACTCTCTATCCTTCAATTTCCCCGTCTTGTTTTGGGCAGATTTCCAGTCATGTCTGATTTGTATTGCACGGCGATTACCTCGGCCTCCAGCTATTACGGGTGTAGAATCCTTTATGACCAAGCAAGATACTACAGGTACTAATTGTAAAGTTCAGAATGTTCCATAGGTATTAATAATGTGACTCTGCCCTTAAAACTAATTATATCCAGAATGTCTTTCTGTTCTATGAGATTTAGGCTTTGCTCCCTAGTCTTATACAGAAAACATTTTAAATGGTGCTCTTGAGATTATACAATTTAGATACTATGATCATTATCATGGTCAGGGTGCTGGGGAACACTTTTTATAACTTTATATACCTATATTTGTTTGATTACAAATTATTTTTCAAATCATGGAATAAAATGTTTAAAGAAATTGAGAAGATATAGATATGTAAATATGTAGATATACATACATTTATTTAAATAGATATGAATATGGTAGTTTTACTATTATGCTTAAACGTATCTGGCTATTTTTTTTTTTAATTCTTTTTCTTTAAATTTATTTAGCACATACCGATTGAGTCCCTAGAAGTGCCTGTCATTAGGTGATTCCTCAAGATGTATATGGTTGAACAAAAATGATTCAGTGACAAATTGTGTTATTTTTGATGATGGAAGTTATGAGATGGTATAAGGGAGGATATATGAAATTAGTTGGTCAGCAAAGGCCTGTCTGAGGAGCTGATACTGAGCCCCAAAGGATGAAGTGGTGCCCACTACTTAAAGTATGGGTCTTGGAAGGGGGGCAGCAAGAAAGGGTCTTGATGCAGAACGAGTACTCCTAATTGAGGAACCAGAGCTGCAGAAGTCTAAAGATAAGCAAGACAGAGAGGTAAGTTAGAAGTACTAGAAGGAGGGCAGGAGAGCCTCAAACTGAGTAACAGACTGCCTATAAATAAGGCATTCTTCTTAAAGGCCTACTTCAGATTTTATTTTCAGCAAGAACAAGTTGTTACTGTTCTTTATAGTTGATGAAGTATTTTTCTTATATTATTTGATTTTATCTTTACACTAACATGTTGTATGTTCATGCTTTTACGACAACCAGAGTTACATATATATCACTTACCTCTCTAATTTTAAAATAGAGATAAATATTAAAGGTATATTTTCTAGCAGACTAAGATTTTAAAAATAATTTCTTCTGAATTTTATGCTTTGTGAAAGTTTAGTTTTAGTGTACATTTTGACTTTTACCACCTTTTTATAAGATCCTATTTCATTATGTATTAATTTTTTAGTGCCAATAATCTAATATTCTAATGTTGTATACTTTGTGCTTGTGTTTTTAGAGATAAACTTCCAACTGCTCTTACTAAAGAACTAGTATGGATAAATTAGCACAGATAATAGAAAATGGTAAAGAGAATGTCTCTGAGCATGGAGAGATGGCATCTAAGGATAGTAATTATCAATTATCATAGCCTTCTTCATTCTGTTTTTGAGTCTACCATGTATTATGTTCCTTTCCAGTCTCTACCATGAACAACACTGGAAAAATTTAATAAACGTACTATGGATATGTAGGTTTGTCCAAAAACAAAAATTTATTTAAATTTTTTTAAAATTTTTTTTTAATTATTGAAAATTGAAAGTATTTTGCATGAAGGAAAAATAGAGTCCATTGAAAAAGAAAATTGGTCTTTTCTGTCAGTAACCAGTTAACATAAAAAGAAACCAAATAAGGGCTTTGTGAGATAGCAGAATGAAAACATGTTGAAAAAGGTTATTGTCAGGTCACAGAAAAAATGTCAGAGATGGGGGAGGCCTAAAAGTTATGAGGCTAATTTAGGAACAATATGTTTCAGCTTTTCCTCATATTGCATTTGTATAAATTGAATTCTAAATTGGATTGCTTTGAGGACTGTATTTTCCCATAAGAACAGTGTTATCCCTGGTAGTTTTGTTTCTAAGAACCCAGCTGTTAAAATTTTAGATATACCTGGTAATATGTATAAATATATAAAAATAACCATAATCATGTAAAATAAAAAATTAGCCTCTGGGCCATAAAATAACTATATATATATAGAGAGAGAGGGAACCTCCAATATCACAGAATCCAACCTAGATTTACAAATGAGGGGATGGTGATTTGATCAAAACCATACAGCCCTTTGCCGAGAATGGACACCTTTAGGCCCTAATGTGGAGCCCTTTCTTGTATTACATTACTTTTCACTAAAGCACTATTAAAAGGGCATCACTATACTGTACACAGTTATTGTACAAAGATACCAAGGAAATATAAAATATGCTTAAAATGTAAAACTAACATTATATAAATCATAGAATTGACTTAGCTAAAAAGAATAAGTATAATAAATGTTAAACATTTAATTTCTTAAGTTTTTGTAGTACTTTTTAACTCTTCATGGGATGATCCATATCTCTTAAAAAAAGAAAAAAGTATTTTACTAGGAAATGTTGAACAGTGGGGCTTTTTATTGTTGTTTAGTTGGTTGGTTAAACTTTCCTGTAGTAGGCAGAGTATTCTAAATCAAGCTGTTCATGATTCTTCACTAAGATAGTCATTATATTACCCATCTGGTACCATTGCTGATAACTTAATCACTTTCTCTCCTGCCAGTCCCCAAACTCTAAACTCTCATGCTCTCTGGTGGGGCCAACCCTGACATGAACACACACATGCATATGCCTCCCTTAGTCACTGCCTGTGAGGAGCATTATTGTATAGGAAGATTATGTAGCAGTGGAATCCCTGCTATAACCAACTTTTTATCTCTGACATAAGAAACAAGGGTTGAACAATTAAAATTCTTAAAAATCTAAAATCTTTTATAGTTTCAGTTACAGTGTTCACCAGGCTTTCCCCAAACTGTTCTTAAATGACAAAATTTCCTTGAGTTTCAGTTTATTTTCTTTCTACTATTTACATTTATGCCAAGACTTAGGTGATAACCTGATCAAGTAGGACTGGGTACATCAGATTCAAGACCCGAAGTTAAAAAGGTCTAATGAATATTTTATTTCTAAACAAAATGAGATATATAAAGAGGGGATTAGTTCAATGAGGAGGCACAAACTGGATGATAGATTTGAGTTGATTGTATGAAGAAGGGGAAGATGGGGAAAATATTTAATCAGGCATTCATAGAAGAGGAAACATTAGTGGTGAACTCTAATAATTGGGAAATAAAAATTTAGACCACAATGAGATAGCATTTTTCACCTACTAATTTGAAAACATAAAGAAGCCTGACAACACAAGTGATGAAAGGATGTTAGATTAGCACTAACTCTTACACATTGCTGGTGGAAGCATAGAGTGGTACAAGTTTCAGGAAGACAGTTTAAAATTAATATTATAAAGTTGAACATTCACATAACCTACAATCTAACAATTCTGTTCCTACATATATACACTAGAGAAGTTCTCACATGCATGTACCATGCAACACGTGAAAGATGTTCATAGCAGTGCTGATTGTAATGGCAAAAAACCGATAACAGTCTAGATGCCCATTCACAGGAGAATTTAAAGATGGGGGTGGTGACAAGGGAGGAGTGCACATGTGATGGAGCAATATTGGTAACGTCAAGTTCTGAAGTTGAGTGGTGGGTTGGCAGGTTTTTATCTCATTAATTCTTAATTTATATATATATATTCTATATATATCTTGTATTATTTTGTGTGACTGTAAGATTCTGTAAAACGTAATAAAACAGGTCTTAATATTCACAAACTGGATTAATTGGCCCTCTGTTAACTGAGGAATAACTTACCTGAATTCTCTCATAGCCATTTGGAAATTTGTTTAAATATGATAACAATGGCGAATCACCACTAAATTTTATAAAGCGTATGTTCCGTGTGCATACTGCCTAGCAAATCTTAATGTTCTCACTTACTGTTTTTCTGATTTAACTTTTGTTGTCTTCAGTCTTTGTTTAGTCTTAAATACAGTATTGCCTACAGCCCAACAAAGGTTAGAAAGGAAAAGGCTTGCTTCTTTTCTCATATTCTCTTCACTTAGTAGTTAGAAATTAATTTAAACCAAAAAATATACTTCATCTTTGCCTCTCCTTTCCAATCGGTCATCAGTATACAGAGAGCAGAATCCAAAGACCAAGCCAGAAGAGTTTGAACTGCATTAGTCTCAGTAGTGTCAGGTCATTATGGTATGACTTTAATCCTAGACCAGAATTGAATTTTAGAATATGACATACTAGGACATAACACATTCTAAGACCAAAACAATTTCTTATGTCAATAACATACTTCATAACTATAATAAAAATTAATAGTGCTTTTTGATGCTTTTGTTTATTGAGTATTTGGAAAGAATATTTCTTAGATGCAGTTGTTAGTTTTGAAATACAGATGATTTATATAAAGAGGCTGTTATAAATATAAACTTTCATTCTTTGTACAGGTAAAATCATCTCTATTGATACTAGTTCCCTGAGAGCTGCTGGCAGAACTGGTTGGGAAGATTTAGTGAGGAAGTGCATTTATGCTTTTTTCCAACCTCAGGGCAGAGAACCATCTTATGCCAGACAGCTGTTCCAAGAAGGTAAAATTTTCTCTCTCAATTATTTTCATTAACCCTTATCTTTACTGATATTTGAATAGTTCGTATAGAACTTATGGCTTGATAAGTATTTTCTCCAAATTATAGTTTTTGCAATAATCAGTTTTAGGAAAGGAAGAAATGGGTAAGCAAAGTAATTCATGAGTGGATCCTGAAATTTGGGATACACGTTCTGAAGAATAGGATGTTGTGTGGTGGTCACTCATTCATTCATTCATTCATTCAGCAGGCATGTATCAAGTTCCCAACATACGTAGAACACTATATAAGGTGCCAGGGATACAGTGATGACTAAAAAAGAAGGTTTTGCCCTTAAAGAGCTTATAATACAGTAGGAAAATATACGACAACCCTAAAGATCAGTTTGATGTGGGGTATGATAGAACCATAACCAAAGAAGAAAAAAATTAATTCTGACTTGAAGAATCAAGGATGACTTCAGAAAAGAAGTAATATTTTGTTTGGCTCTTGAAGATCATTCTCAGCAGAACAAGCATGTCAAAGGCCTTCTAGATAATACAGAGATCAGTATCATGCCTGTTTACTTCATGACTGTTGCAGAACCTGTATCTCCTGACTCAGGTTGAAATTTCAAGTCAAAAAATATATCCTATGAAATTATTAATTATTGCATAGCTTCTGGGTCTTAGTAAGTATCATGGAAGTATAAGATATGTATATTCCCTGCCCTTAAGAAACTTAACAGTACTACAGGAACGATAGGAAAAGTTATTTGAGAATTAAGGCCAGAAAGTTTACAGAAGTTCAGAATTAAATGGCTTTGATATACTTTAAAAATATTGTCATTTAATTATGGTAGCCTAACATTCTTTTTCCAATGAAATTTATTCTCTAATCTCTAGATAGTTTCTTTTGTAAGAATCTCATTGTATGGCTTTTCCTGAAAAACAATTTAAAAATATGTTTCATTATTTTGTCATTCTTAATTTTAACATTTTTCCCATAACATTAGATTTCCTAAGTTTACGGATGATTTTCCATTCATTACATTTTAGGTCAACTGCTTCCTAGTGATACATGGAGGAAGTAGTTTGATTTTTTTTCTTCTTCCAGGAAACATCTATATAAATATCACAATCCAGGTATTTCTGGAACAGCTTCGTACAGACTAGTGGTTCTCTAATGGGCTCCTTACTAGACTTATACCACCTCCTAAGATTGTATTTCACTGGGTAGAGCTAAGAATCTGTATTTTTTAAAAGTTTCCCAGGCAATCCTGAAGGGCAGCCAGGTTTGGAAACCATTACAATAAGTAACTAATGCCGTCCACTGGATGTGAACTTTGTGATTTCCTCTGGCAAGGGTGATGCTTGACTTTTGCATAGGTTTGGGACTCAGAGCACTGTTTCGACTCATTGCCTGAAGTTCTCGAGTTTATGGTACTTTTGATTTTTGCCTTAAGTTGGGCCTTCCAAGGCTTTACTTAAAAGACTTAATTTATTTGCCTATAATTTACGTACATTTTCACTAAGGCAAAGCAGATCTGGCTTGTCTTATTATCCAAATGGCTAGGCTCCCCATAGATGTGACTAGGCTACAGTTGAAGGTTTCTAAACCTTCAACGGAATTCCCCATACAATGAATTGATTAAAGTATTATAAGTAACTAGTTTGTCATTAATATATAAACTGAAATAATTTAGAGTAAAATGTCAAGAAATGTAAGTATAATCCAATACCTCTTCCCCATTAGTCATTTTTAATGTTCCCTCATTCTACTTTTTTTAGGGAAAAAAAATCCTCAATAGAAATAACTGTATTTTTCTTAGAATCAAGTTGTCCAAAGTTCACGTGACTGAATCGAGTGTTTTGGAGATTCTAAACAACCTGACAAACAGGTTTTGTGGATTGAGCACAGCCTTTTTTGATATTTTCTATTCAGCAGTATCTAGCCAGATATGAGAAATGTGGTCAATGAAACACTTTCATGAGAATCACCTGTTAAAGATAGTGACCTGCTGAATTAAAATATCAAATGAAGGCCTGCCCAGATATCTTAACAAACCTTAAAGCTAATGCTTAAGTTGGCCGGGTGCAGTGGCTCATGCCTGTAATCCCAACACTTTGGGAGGCCGAGGCAGGTGGATCACCTGAGGTCGGGAGTTCAAGACCAGCCTAATCAACTTGGAGAAACCCCATCTCCACTAAAAATACAAAATTAGCGCGCATGGTGGCGCAGTCCTGTAATCCCAGCTACTCGGAAGGCTGAGGCAGGAGAATCACTTGAACCCGGGAGGTGGAGGTTGCGGTGAGCCAAGGTCGCACCATTGCACTCCAGCCTGGGCAACAAGAGCGAAACTTCATCGCTAATAATAATAATAATAATAATAATAATAATAATAATAGTAATAATGCTTAAGTTTGACAATCATTGGTCCATCAAGATTGGAGAGAGGTGTTATTTGCATTTGCAGTTTTCTTGCTGCCTTTTCACTTAGGGACAGTATAAAAAGAGTGAAACAGATTATGTACTATCTTCCTGATTTTGTGTAGAACTTTACAGTGAATGATATTTAGGCAGGAAAAGTTTGTCCTCCATCTGTTTTCTTTTTTCCTGTCCATTAACTTACTCTTTGATGGCAGCAACTAGTCTAAAATCCTAACATGCGTTAAAATTTCTAGTTTTAGTTTAGTTTTTTAGCTGCTTTTGACAGTCAGCTCATGAACTGCTGTCAAAAGGAGTTTACTATTATATTTTCCAGAATCAAGTTTGAAAACACATTTCACCTTGCATGAATTAGATTAAAGCCACGGTTTTACATTGAGATTGGAGGGAAATGGGTATCAGGATCACTTGAGGAACTTTTTAAACTAGGAGAAGATCCATGCAAGTGTGTATAGTTTGGAAAAAGTTCCCAGGTTCTGTTCAATTCAAAACTATTACTTTAAAGAAATATCTAGGTCATGGTGCTTCCCAAGGTCCCTGATAAGATAGATTTATCTGGGGCAGTTGTTAAACTAGATTTCTGGACCCCACCCCGGACTACTGAATCAGAGTCTATAGTCTAAGATGTTTACTTACAGAGAAGTTTGTAAACTATGAACCTAGGTTCCACAAACTTAATAACTATAACTAGGAAATGATGTTTTATGGGTAATCCCACTTTAGGTGATTTATAAGATATATTTAAGGTATTTAAGTTTCTGAGAAGTTCTACAATAAAAATACCTTTTAAATTTTGTTATTGAGACTTTTTTTTCACAGAATACTTTTTCCTGGAGCACATCTATCAGCAGTTAGATAGTAGTCATGGGAAATGTCAGGCTATACAACCTAGAAACTAGTTGTATGAAAGTTCTGTTTATATATATATATAATGATGTAATGGATCATCTTTTCTTGTCTTTGAAATATCCATGACATATTGTTATATTAAAAAGTAGGTGGCTGGGCACAGTAGCTCATGCCTGTAATCCCAGCCCTTGGGAGGCTGAGACAGGAGGATTGCTTGAGTCCAGAAGTTCAAGACCAGCTTGGGCAACATGGCGAAACCTCATCTCTACAAAAAATAAAAATACAAAAATTAGCTAGGCGTGGCACACAGGTATGGTCCCAGCTAGTCGGGAGGCTGAGATGAGAGAATTGCTTGAGCCCAGGAAGTGAAGACTTCAGTTAGCCTTGATCATGCTACTGCACTCAAACCTGGGTGACAGAGTGAGACACTGTCTCAAAAAAAAAAAAAAAAAGAGTAGACCAAGAGAGCACAGCATATATAATATGATCTCACTTTTACATATCTTTCTATTTATCCAATTCTAGAAAATTAACAAAATTTTAACTGTTTATCTCTGCATGATGGAATTACAAATGACTTGACTTGTTCTTTGTTCATCTCTCTATTAACTTTATATTAAAATAAAGCCATTTTCATCTTTTAAAAAATATAGTTAAGGCTAGCCATGGTGGCTCACGCCAGTAATCCCAGTATTTTGAGAGGCTGAGGTGTGAGGATCGCTTGAGCACAGGAATTTGAGATCAGCCTCGCCAACATGGCGAAACCCTGTCCTATTAAAAATACAAAAATTAGCCAGGCGTGGTGGCATGAGCCTGTAATCCCAGCTACTCGGGAGTCTGAGGCAGGAGAATCCCTTGAACCCAGGAGGCGGAGGTTGCAGTGAGGCGAGATCATGCCACTGCACTCCAGCTTGGGTGACAGAGGGAGACCCTGTCTCAAAAAAAGAAAAAAAATATATCATGAGTCAAAGCTGGAAAGGGTTTATGGTATTAAGTTTGGAAGCATTGCTATAAAACATAAAGTACCGATATCAATGATTAATTAGAATGTTCTTTGAGACTTGTGTAATGTGATTAAGTCCACGGTCCATGTAACAACTGAAAATCTTTTTATGTCAAACTTTGTTAAAAATATTTAAAATGTGAGTTTACTGTCCTCTTAGTGATTTTGATATAATAGAGTTTACTCATTGGTGATTGAGAATTTTAGAACATCTAGGGGTAATTATTTTTTCTGTACCTAATAACAATTTTTTAATTCTTTATCTTTTTCTGCATATATTTAGGTGACTACCACAAAGAAAAATAAACCTCTACCGGCATTGACCCATAGTACCCTGCCACACATTTTTTCACCTGCCTATTTTGTTAATATCAGTCAGGCATGCTTGTTTGAGGTTATCTCAGCACCAAATTGGGAGGGATCAAAAACCCAAAAACTTTGCTTCTACAGCTGCTGTAACCAGGGAAAATTTAATGTTTCTTTTGCTTTGTAGCTCTGTTGAGGCCTATTCTAGGGATAAAAATAAATAAAAAATAAATAAATAAAAGCGGCTGTCATGTTAAAGGTTCTTTGGAAGGATTCTGAGGTGTCAATAATAGTCCTTCAATATTATCTTTCCTCACTAAGTGTTCTAAGGAGTTTAGAAATGGACACAGGAATCAGAGATCAGAATACTAGGTATAAAGATGACAAAATTAGGTCAGAAAACTAGGCCAGGACCTATAAACAAAATGGGATTCCAAAACTAAACCTTGAAACCCACTTAAAGGGAAAATTTGATGTGTACGGCAAATGTTTATTGAACCAACTCTGTAAGGAGCTGTGGCTACCTTACTCATCTCTTAATTCAAAGTATTAGTGATTGTTATTCAGAGTTGAAGCTGTTGCCATAAATAGTGTCTAGGGATTGACTATGTGTGTGACTCAGAACATAAATACTTTGGAAGCTGCGTATTTGTTGGGTTTTTTTCCCTCTGATGTTTATTGAGGAAATACTCATTCAATACCTGATATGTACTCCATGCTAGGCTCCGTGCTAGATATTATCTTACAATGTTGTTGGCTCAGTTTTAGTAATGAGTTGACTGAGATGGGTGAATGTTAATTTGCATTAAGTCTTAAACTTGTAAATGACAGTGAGAGGTCAAGCCTGAATCTGACTCCTAGGCTGTTACTCTTTTCATTGATTTATGCTGCCTTCCTTTGACCTCTTCATCTGAACAATTAAGCACCAGACTTTTAGTTAACTGGAGAGTCTTACTGAGTTCTAATTAATTGAAGTTTTACCATATTAAATATTGCCTCTTTCTCATTTCCAAGAATGGCTGAATGAATTATTAAATGCCAAATCTTAGTCCATACATTCTCATCCAAAACAAATAATCTAATTTCAAAACATAAAGTGTGGTAATTGTCTTGTATTAAATTAATAGGCTTCCCTAAATTCAGGAATTTTTCCTAGTTTAGATACATTATATTTAGTAAGTATGCCAGTGATTTAGCTGAAATTGCCAGGTGTGTAAAGAATGTGGTTGGTCAAATATAAGTCTTATCCTTTCAATTAAATTTATATTCTGGTTTTGGTACTTAAGCAGATATATTATGGTATAGATTTACATTAAACTATACCTTTTTCAGTTGGTACTGTATACACAGGACAATAAAATAGAACATGTCTTGTTTAAGTAACATGTAACTTCAAAAATTATTTATTAATTGGTAATTTTAAGCCTCTTTCTCATGGCCTTTAAAATGTAATCAAAGCCCCTTTGAAATGTCTTTGAAAAATTGGACTAACATTTTATCACAGGCTAAATTATAATAGTCATTTGTGGTAGTACTCAATCTTTCTTAAAATAGAATTATATGGTATTATTAAAACATCAGTGATATTTTATTACATAATAGTCTGGCATAGCCTTTACGTATTTAATAAATACTTACATGATTAGAATTTTTTCTGCTGTTAGTAAAGCTTTAAGACAAGAGTAAATTATGCTACTTATAAAGTGACTTGACTGCCTTAACTTAGTTTTTGTTCCTTATACTAATAACCATTGGCTACATCTTAATTTGCTTACTAAACTTTAAAAATTCAAACATTAAAAATAGTACACAGATTTTACACATATTTATAAATAACTTGTCAAATGGGACCTTAGTGATTCACATTCCTGAGTGAAAAGTTAAATTTGAATATTAGTTAAGGAACTCTGTAAACTGATCAAAACTTAGTAAATTTTATGGTGTGTCAGTCATATCTTAGTAGAGCTGTTATTTAAAAAAAAACCAGCAAAAGAGAAAACAAACTTGTTAAAGATAATACTGAGAGTGAGAGGGGAGAAAAATATTTCCTGGTATTTTTAATGGAGACAATAAATTTGAAGAGCTGCCCCCAGTATAGAGAAAGATTAAGGTTGGGCCAGGCGCGGTGGCTTACGCCTGTAATCACAGCACTTTGGGATGCCAAGGTGAATGGATCATTTGAGGTCAGGAGTTCAAGACCAGCCTGACCAACATGGTGAAACCCTGCCTCTACTAAAAATACAAAAATTAGCCATGGTGGTGGGTGCCTGTAGTCCCAGCTACTTGGAAGGCTGAGGCAGGAGAATTGCTTGAACCCCAGAGGCAGAGGTTGCAGTGAGCCGAGATCGTGCCACTGCACTCTAGCCTGGGCGACAGAGTGAGACTCTGTCTCAAAAGAAAAAAAAAAAAAGACTAAAGTTGATGTTTCCCAGATTTGGGGTTTTCTCATAATTATAACTTCTCTGAGGAGGCACCCATTCAACTATGACTCAATTAAAACCTGTCATCAAGTGGTATATTTCAACTGGAATCATCTTCCCCCTCAGATATCTGCTTTGTCTGAACTATTCTTTATTCTGAGTCTAAGCAGGCAACAGTTGGGAGGGCCTTTAAAATGAGGTTCTAAGTAGAAATAAAACCTGGTGACTTAAAGCCAGCGTATAAGTATCAGAATTTTAACTAGGTTTCTCTTCTGTTTGAAACAGTGATGACTCGTGGCACTGCCTCCAGCCCCTCCTATAGATTCATATTGAATGATGGGACAATGCTTAGCGCCCACACCAAGTGTAAACTTTGCTACCCTCAAAGTCCAGACATGCAACCTTTCATCATGGGAATTCATATCATCGACAGGTACTACTTATTTGGAGAGCTTCATATGAAATAAGCCAGTTCACATATCTCTTATTAGAGAAATTTTTTATACTCTTGATGGCTAGAAAGCAGAAATTCTAAATTAGGCGTAAAACTAGTGTGATGAGTATATATAATCAATATATCCATATTGGGTTTTATAGTTTTATCATGTAATAGCTTTGTTGTTCATAAAGGGAGGTAGGAAAGCTGAGGCTGAAAATCTGCTTTTTAGAGGGTAAAACCAAAAAGATGGCTAAAAATTTACAACATTCCATATGTGAATCTTATAAGAGATTTGTGAGTTTGTTAACATTGTTATTTTTATTTTTATTTTTGAAAGTGCTCTATTTTCATTAGGGCATACTTGGTGGCTCCTGAGTTCAAGTTGACAATTTCTCACAGAAATTACAAATCATTAAACTATCAACTTGATTTTTGAGTGCCATTGTCTCTAATTTGTTCCCCTAAGTATGTTTTACACTGATATATGGTAAATTCATGAAACTATTATCCTATGAATTATTAGAAATCCTACATTTACAGTGGTGAAAATGTAGCATTAAAAACAAAGACATTTCCCCTCACTTCATCTTTTTCTCATCTAATGTATTTGCTTATTGGAACATGGTAATGCCAGTCACAAATCTGTTGTCATAATTATGAATTTGAGTAAAGGACTCACTGAAAACCTGAATTCAGTATTGTGGTTTTTTTCTACTTTTAGTTTAAATTATGCTTGTGAGTGGAATTAGCACAGTTCTTTTTTTTTCATATTGTGATTTCTCTTTCAAAACATCTGCTATGTCTGCATATCACTCTTTTTAATTTTTACATCAGTGACACAGTATTTTCCTTACCCAGTCTTCCTCTTTGGAGTTGAAATACTTAAAAGCTGTAACAGGAGTCATAAATAAGTGCTTTATAAACAGAGGTGTGAGAAGTTTATTTTTCAACCAAAAAATTATTATAATGTTAATTGTGTATATTAGGCTTAGAAATTGTTTAAAAGAACATATATTGGATTTTTTCCAAAACCAAGAAAAATTTTTACATTATATTTTACATAAAATTATATTTTACATATAACTGAGACCATTATCAAATGTAAGAGTCGATAAGCATTATTTCTTATTAAGTGGTGCTAATATTTTACAGTAGTTTTTTCTTAATTTAAGAAACTTTTTTCTTAATTTAAGATGGTACAGAAGCTCTTTACTTGATAGCTTGCAATATTAATGAGATCAATGGTCTTGTTTTAGAATATGTATCATAAAAATATTTTAATAGAAACAAATGAAGATGTTTGAATAATAATGTCTTTTTCCCCCTAGGGAGCACAGTGGGCTTTCTCCTCAAGATGACACTAATTCTGGAATGTCAATTCCCCGAGTAAATCCCTCGGTCAATCCTAGTATCTCTCCAGCTCATGGTGTGGCTCGTTCATCCACATTGCCACCATCCAACAGCAACATGGTATCCACCAGAATAAACCGCCAGCAGAGCTCAGACCTTCATAGCAGCAGTCATAGTAATTCTAGCAACAGCCAAGGAAGTTTCGGATGCTCACCCGGAAGTCAGATTGTAGCCAATGTTGCCTTAAACCAAGGACAGGCCAGTTCACAGAGCAGTAATCCCTCTTTAAACCTCAATAATTCTCCTATGGAAGGTACAGGAATATCCCTAGCACAGTTCATGTCTCCAAGGAGACAGGTTACTTCTGGATTGGCAACAAGGCCCAGGATGCCAAACAATTCCTTTCCTCCTAATATTTCGACATTAAGCTCTCCCGTTGGCATGACAAGTAGTGCCTGTAATAATAATAACCGATCTTATTCAAACATCCCAGTAACATCTTTACAGGGTATGAATGAAGGACCCAATAACTCCGTTGGCTTCTCTGCCAGTTCTCCAGTCCTCAGGCAGATGAGCTCACAGAATTCACCTAGCAGATTAAATATACAACCAGCAAAAGCTGAGTCCAAAGATAACAAAGAGATTGCCTCAATTTTAAATGAAATGATTCAATCTGACAACAGCTCTAGTGATGGCAAACCTCTGGATTCAGGGCTTCTGCATAACAATGACAGACTTTCAGATGGAGACAGTAAATACTCTCAAACCAGTCACAAACTAGTGCAGCTTTTGACAACAACTGCCGAACAGCAGTTACGGCATGCTGATATAGACACAAGCTGCAAAGATGTCCTGTCTTGCACAGGCACTTCCAACTCTGCCTCTGCTAACTCTTCAGGAGGTTCTTGTCCCTCTTCTCATAGCTCATTGACAGAACGGCATAAAATTCTACACCGGCTCTTACAGGAGGGTAGCCCCTCAGATATCACCACTTTGTCTGTCGAGCCTGATAAAAAGGACAGTGCATCTACTTCTGTGTCAGTGACTGGACAGGTACAAGGAAACTCCAGTATAAAACTAGAACTGGATGCTTCAAAGAAAAAAGAATCAAAAGACCATCAGCTCCTACGCTATCTTTTAGATAAAGATGAGAAAGATTTAAGATCAACTCCAAACCTGAGCCTGGATGATGTAAAGGTGAAAGTGGAAAAGAAAGAACAGATGGATCCATGTAATACAAACCCAACCCCAATGACCAAACCCACTCCTGAGGAAATAAAACTGGAGGCCCAGAGCCAGGTGGGTAACTGCTTGCTTCACAGAATGGTCATTCTTAGTAATTTTTTTTTTCATTTATTCTATTCCATCTGTAGACCAGATATGAATTCATACTATGTTTTATCCTATCCATTGGGCATATATTAAGAGGTTAGTATCAATAACTGATCACAGGATGCCCTCAGAAGTTTTCTTTAGAACTTCAGAAGGCTACAGTTTTAATGCAGAATTATAAAAAAGGAAATTTTTCTTTCTCTATAAAATCAGTGTTCACATCTTTAGACATTTTTTAAAATACCTTCCCTGCCCCTCTCTCCCAGCCCTACCTATTGAATCTAACTCTCTAGGAATAAAACCTAGGAACCAAACCTAAGTCTGGGAACCCCTGATGTAAATGAAGTGGGAGAGAAATGTAAGGAGATGGACAAGGTTACTTAGTCTGGCTTGTTTTTTATTTCCTTTGAAGCATTTCCTAAGGCTGTTTTTTCCTTCTCATCTGATTCTGACCACCCTCAGCAATCAGAGAATAGGGACTTGAATATTCTGGGTAACAGAATATTGCCCTTATGTAACATGACCTGAAACAGACGTAAATAAAGACAAACCTTTCCATAAGTTGTTATGGATTAGAAACCTTTATGTTTAGGATGGGGTGAAAGTGGTGTAAAAGTAAACAGGTATCTTCATTTATTGTATAATTGCTTATGGACTCTGAAGGAATATAGTTTAAAAAAAAATATGGCCCTTCCTAGGAGCTTTCACCTTATTTAGAGACAGAATATAGACATTCATTAATCAGCAGACAATGTATGTACAAAGCAGTTTATCCACGAGACTCCATTCTAAAGCATGAGTCACACTTAGTATGCATAGGTCCTTCGGTTTCTTGAATCAGCTTAGTTTTCTGCTCTCATTTCACAAGAATCACTCTCTTCCCTCAGAAATACTGCATTCTAGGCAGATGGAAGTCCTTGTCATTCCTAGAATAAGCCATGTCTCTTCTAAACATATTCTGCCTTGCTCTTCTTTCTGTGCCCACTGAACTTCTACTCATCCTTCACAAACCAATTCAAATAACATCTGCATAAAGCCTTCCCCAAGTATCCCTAGTTAGACATTTCCTGCTTCTGTCCTTTTGTGGTGCTTCATATCATCTCTGTTTACTCTTTGTAGTAACACTATTTTGACTGGTTCTGTGCATGTGTGTTCTTTGAGGATAAGGCTGTCTCGTGTTTCTTGGTACAATGAAACTAATTTTTAAGCAGAAAACAGCATTAAATAATAAGTATATTTAAAAGGAAAAGATTTATAAGATAATGCCATTGTGTTCAGTTCTGGTGCATCTGTTTTGTGCACATGTGTATGTATTTCTGTTGAGCTGCTTCTTAGGAGTAGAACTACAGGATAATAAGATATGCATATGTCCTTTTTCAGTAGATAATGCCAGTTTTCCTAGTGTATCAGTATTTTTTCTAGTTGCTCCAAGTCCTTGTTAATACATGATATTATCAATATTTTAGATTTTTAGCTATTCTGAGGTGTGTGTTCTAATTTGCATTTCCCTGATAAATATTCATTGGTCATTTGGATATCTTCTTTTGTAAATTGCCTAGTCTAGTCTCGTGACCATTTTTTAATGTGTTTTTATTTTGCTTATTGACTTTTAAGAGTTCTTTATGTATGAGTCCTTTATTGGACATATATTTGCAGACATCTTTTTAGTGCTAAGGCTTACCTTTTCTTTCTCTTACTGGCACTTTTTGATGAGGTGAAGTTCTTCACTTTAATATAGTTCAATTTGTCAATCTTTTCCTTTATGGTTAATGCTTTTTGCACATGTGTAACAAAAGACATGTTCACAAATGTTTTTAACAGCTTTATTCGTATCAGCCAAAAACTGGAAGCAACCCAAAAATCCATCACAATAGAATGGATAATTATGTTGTGACATATTCATACAGTGGGACACTATTCAGCAATAAAAATGAATGAACTGCTGCTAAATGTAACAGTGCCCAAACTTCAGAAATATAATTAAATACATATATGTAATTCTACTTATATACTCTAGAAACAAAAATTTCAGTTGAACTAGATAATGAAACCCAAAAAGTAATCATAGTATAGCAATATTGTGAAATAAAGGCCAGTTTTCTTCTCTACATAACCTAAGACAGATGTAGGAACTCCCTATTTATTCTTTTTTATTTTATTTTATTTTATTTATTTATTTATTTATTTTTGAGATGGGAGTCTCGCTCTGTAGCCCAGGCTGGAGTGCAGTGGCACGATCTCGGCTCACTGCAACCTCCGCCTCCCAGGTTCAAGTGATCCTCCTGCCTCAGCCCCACTAGTAGCTGGAGTTATAGGCACGTGCCACGATGCCTGGCTAATTTTTGTATTTTTAGTAGAGACGGGGTTGCCATGTTGGCCAGGCTGGTCTCGAACTTCTGACCTCAGGTGATCCACCCGCCTCAGCCTCCCAAAGTGCTGGGATTACAGGTGTGAGCCATGGCACCCGGCCTCCCTATCTATTCTAAAAGATATGTTTCTTATTAAGTCCTTAAGTGGGAAGTAACCATTGTGATATCTTTAAAGCTGATAAATAATTTATGAAAAAGTTTTCCAAACTTTTTTAAATTATAAAATAGTTGAATCAATATAAGTTTAAAGTAAGTCATTTTATGAAATTTTGAAAAATATGACAGGAAAAAGTCACCCATAATGCTATCATCATAACACAGTACTACTGACACTTTTTTCCAGTCCAATCTTTTTTTATACATAGATTTTTGTACCAAGATATAGTAGCCAAATATATGTGTATTATTTATATCCTGCAGTATATGAATACTATTATCAGAAGCATCCAAATATTTTCCCCATGGAATAGTTAGCTCATGTAATTTCCAAGTAGCCCCAATCATTCTAATTATTTCTTCTTTCTTCATTATCTCAAAGTCACACTGAATTCATAGAGTTTAAAGAAGCAGCATTTTTTTCTACGTTGTTTCAGGTGAAAGTGTAAAATATATTTCCTCTAACTTTGGTTTCCATTCTTAGTTTACAGCTGACCTTGACCAGTTTGATCAGTTACTGCCCACGCTGGAGAAGGCAGCACAGTTGCCAGGCTTATGTGAGACAGACAGGATGGATGGTGCGGTCACCAGTGTAACCATCAAATCGGAGATCCTGCCAGCTTCACTTCAGTCCGCCACTGCCAGACCCACTTCCAGGCTAAATAGTATGTTCTGGGGACAACACCTCATTTTAAACGTTTAGTGATAATGTGGATTAGCATTTTGTCTCTCACCAGTATTACACAGATCCTTTGCTTAAGAGTGAAATATCTTTTTATTAATGCCACTATAAATAATAAAACAGTTATATTTAGGCATGTGAACATCATTCATCATGTGTATTTTAAATTATGACCTCTATCCTTTTGTAATTAATGTTAAGGTGAGCAATTGATGTTAAGGAGAACAATTTTGTCGTCTCACCCAAAACACCCCATAACAGGACTTTCAGAAATACAGTATTGGGTCAGATTGTTTCCAGATATCTTCCTTGAAAACTAATCCTGTGAGTTGCAGAAATAAAAGATTCTGTACTAAAATACACTGGGCAAATGCTACATGTTCCATACATTTCATATTGATGTTTTAATGCCTATTAGCAGTTTTGAGAAGCCTTGTATTAAAGAATGTAGTTTAGATTTCTTTTACCCAACATTTCCCAAACTTTCCTGATTATGGAATTTCTTTTCTCAAGTAATACATGTTATACCACAGAATGAGTTTTCCATGAAGTTGCTTAGGAGACAACTGTGTTAAAATATGTTATTGTTCTAACCCAAGTTAGCATTTTCCTAGTTGAGAGACACTTTGATAGTTTAATACATTAAATTTATGAAGATAAGGCTGTCAGATTTTTTTGCCCATCACATTTTGATGTTGAAAAAACCAGTGGTAAGAATTCCATTGTATGACCTTGAAACTAAAGGAAACTAATCAGCCCACTTTCAAAATTAGTCTGGATTTTCAACGTTAGTTCTATCCCTTTTCTGATGGTATCATATGTGGGACTTCAGTTATTTCAGTCCAACTGGAACTTTTAACTGTCATGACCCAATTACTGATAGTTTGCCAGGATTTCAGACAGCTGCGAAGAATAATCTTGAATCCATCTGTGACATTTTTGGAGGCAGTATTTTAGCTGACCAGAGTATTAGAGGAAGAGTCAGAAGCCTAGATTCAAATCTCACATTCTCCAGTCATTAACAGTCTTACCTCAAGGAAGTACATTTTTTGAACCTTATTCTCTTTATCTGCAATATAAGAATTAGATTAAATGATTTTGAAAGTTTCTTCTAATAGAAGCAGTGAGGCTCTAGACTGGAATGTCAGTCACAATTGAGGAAACAGTAAGATGCAAGGCTGAAAAGAGATAAAATGAAAGTCTGCATATTGATTGATTTGGAGGTCTTTATCTCCTTCCCCATCCAATATGGGAGACTGGAAGAATTTTCTCAGGGGACATTGAATGGGCGGAAAGATGTCTGGATGTGAGTATATAAGTACAAAAGCCATTCTGCTATCTCATCATCCAACAATGAAGGCTCCCAGAAGAGACAAGCCTGGCACTCAGCCCTCCCAGTCCATGTTTAAGAACACTGACTGAACAGACACAGTCAAGAATCATCAGTACTTGGAGGAAACTCTGCAACTTGAAAGGGAGAAAAAGAAATAAACAGAAAAAGTATGCAGTGGAAATATATAATGAATGCATAAACCAAAAAAGAAAAAAACTACTAGAAATTTTAGAAAGATAAAAATGTATTACCCCTGAAAATATGGAAAGGGAAAAAAAGGGACAAAGAACAGAAAAAACTCTTGGAAATTAGGTATCCAACTTTTTTTTTTAATGAGGGAAATGTAAGATGATACAGCTGAGAAAAGCTTCCAGAAAGAACAAAAAGATGCTCCCAGAAAGACAAATGGGAAGTAGGGAAGAAAAAGTTAAGGAAATTACAAGGTCCACCTCAGAGGGCCAGTAATGATTAAGAATTACACAAACAGGCCAGGTGCGGTGGCTCACGCCTGTAATCGTGCACTTTGGGAGGCTGAGGCAAGCGGATCACCTGAGGTCAGGAGTTCAAGACCAGCTTGATCAACATGGTGAAACCCTGTCTCTACCAAAAATATACAAAAATTAGCTGGGCATGGTGGCAGGCACCTGTAATCCCAGCTACTTGGGAGGCTGAGGCAGGAGAATCACCTGAACCCAGGAGGCAGAGGTTGCAGTCAGCTGAGATCGTGCCATTGCACTCCAGCCTGGGCGACAAGAGCAAAACTCTATCTCAAAAATAATTAATTAATTAATTAATTTTAAAAATTAAATTTAATTTAAAAAAATAAAAGAATTACACAAACAAGGGTGGGAAACATCAAAAAATATAAGAGAATTTTCTGATTCCCCAGATTACAGTGTTTCAACAAGTACCCAACACAAATGGAAAAAAAAAGTACTTGTACCAAAGCTTGTCATCATATCATTCTGGAACATGAGAGATAAAGAAAAGATTCTAAAACCTTTCAGAGAGAAGTTAATTCCATACAGTGAATCAGGAATTTTCAAAGGTAATATTGGAACTAGAAGACATTTATGATTTGAGAAAAAGGACTTCTACTTTCAACTATGACAGCAATAATTGGCACTGGTCTAGTCCTCCCACTGTAAATAACGGGAAAAAGAGCAAATACATTAAACAATTCTTGTAAGCCAATAGATAATAGGCAGTGTGAGACTGTGATCTCTCTGAGAAGGAAGCAAGTCAGGTGAGCTCTACAATCATCTCAGCTTTTTTCTTGGAGATGTTTACCAAACCAAGTACAGGTAGGAGGAACCCAAAATAAGCACGGATATTTTACTAAACTCCGAAAATAGTGATAGGAGTTCAGTGACAGTGGGGCAGCTAGAACTTGCTGAACAAAGTACCCGAGAAGAGAAGGATATGTAGAAAATAGCAACAAAAATCTGAATCAGGGTTCTTTTCTATCCTTGGCTGAATACTACACTGTGCATGTATTCAACGATACTCCATCAGGTGGGGCAAAGAACAGTTTGTGAAGGAAGAACAACTATCAGGAAGGAGTGAGCTGAACAACTACCAGAACTCACACAAGATTGGAAGATAATCAAGTCCTGACCAATCAGAGTCGGTAGACCTTCTTGAACATCTGGGACATTTAGTGGAAAATGGCCTCACTTTAAGAGTGGATTTACCCTAGACCTGCTTTGACATCTTAAAAACAAACCTCAAAAGGATCAAGCTTATGTACAAGTAAATTAACTGTCTGAAAGAACACTATTCAATAGTTTTTAAAGAAGACACCAAAATTCAGACATTCAGCAGCATTATATTCATAATTTCCAACATATAATAAAAAAAATTAAGACACATGATGTAGCAAGAAACTGTGACCCATACCCAAACAAAGTCAGTTAATAGATCCAGAAATGACAGAGATGATAGAAGTAATAGAAAAAGATTTGAAAATAGCTATTCTAAATATGTTGAAGAACTTAAGGGACAACATGAACATAATGAGGGAAGAGATATAAACTACAAAAAAAAAGAGCCAAATAGAGCTGGTAGAGCTGAAAAATACAGTATTTAAAATGAAAAATTTGTTGGAGGAGCCTACCAGCAGATTAGACACTGCAGGAAAAAAAGAGCAATAAACATGACATAGTATTAGAAACTACTCAAATTAGAGGAGAAAAAGAATACCACAAAAGTATTGAAAGACCTCAGTCACCTGTGGAACAATACAAAGCAGTCTAGTATACACATAATATATAAATAATACATAATTATGGAAGAAGGGGGAGCAGGTGAAATTTTTGAAAAAACAGCCAAAATATTTACAAATTTGTGGAAATTTGTAAACCTACAAATCCAAGAGTTTAATGAATCCCAAGCAAAATAAACACAAAGAAAACTACTATAAGCCATGTCATAATCAAATTGCTGAAACAAAAATCTTAAAACCAATCAAAGAAAAATGACACATTATGTCAGATAAACAAGAAAAAACTTTCTATACTTAGTATCATTCAAAATGACACAGAGATGAAAAAAGATAGAAAATGATATAAGATGAACAAAGATAAGAAAACAACTAACTTTCTGTATCCAGTATCATTCAGAAATGCAGGTGAAATAAAGATGTTTTCAAACAAACCACCCTGAGAAAATTTGTCACCAGCAGATTACACTATTGTTCAAGCTAAAATAAAATGAATCCAGATGGAAACTCTAACCTACAGAAAATAATAAGAGAGCCAGATAAGTAAAGGTATGAATAAATGGAAAATTCTTTTTTCTCATTTGTTAGTTTCTTTAAATGAAAAATAACTGTTTAAAGCAAAAATAATAACAGTGAATTATATATGTAATATGTAGAAGAAAAATGTATGACAGTAATAGTACCAAAAATGGGGTAGAATAAATGAGACAATACTCTTTTCTACAAAATAGTATAATATTTGAGGCTAGAGGCTAAAGTTAAAAATGCATTTTTTTAACAGAAAAATATTCTATAAGTGTCCTGCATGTAGAAAATCCTAAAGAAGTGAGAGGAAAAGCTACTTGAACTAAATGAACTTAGCAAAGTCACAATATGTGTACTCAGTATTTTAAAAAATCAATTGTATTTCTGTATATCAGTTACATACAATTGGATAATGATATAGAAAAAGCAATTTACAAAATACATAAAATATTAAGACATAAATTTTAGATGGAATAACATGTGCATTACTCTACACTGAAAACTACTTTGCTGAGAGAAATTAGAGGGGGGCCAAATAAATGGAGAGGGATACCATTTTCATGGATTGTAAGACACAATTTTGTCAAGATATCAGTTATTCCAAAATCAACCCATGTAAATTTAATGTAATCCCAATAACAATCCCAGCAGGCGGCCGGGCGCAGTGGCTCACGCCTGTAATCCCAGCACTTTGGGAGGCCGAGGCAGGCGGATCACAAGGTCAGGAGATCGAGACCATCCTGGTTAACATGGTGAAACCCCGTCTCTACTAAAAAAATACAAAAAATTAGCCGGGCGTGGTGGCAGGTGCCTGTAGTCCTAGCTACTCGGGAGGCTGAGGCAGGAGAATGGTGTGAACCCAGGAGGCGGAGATTGCAGTGAGCCGAGATTGCGCCACTGCACTCCAGCCTGGGTGACAGAGTGAGACTCCGTCTCAAAAAAAAAAAAAAAAAAAAATCTGAGCAGGCATTTTAGTAAAATTTGACAAGCTTTTTCTAAAGTGTATATGAGAATGCAAAGGTCCTGAAATAACAAAAACCACTTAAAAAAAAAAAAAAGAAAACTTGGGAGTATTTATACTGCTTGATTTTAATACTTCTATAAAGCACCAGTCATCAAGATGGTGTGGTTTTGGAATAAAAATAGACATATAGATCAATGCAAAATAATGGAGAGTCCAGAAACAGACCCACATTTATATGGCGAATTGACATTCAACAAAGACACCAAGGTAATTAAACAAAGAATAGTCATTTCAATACATGGTGATATAACAACTGAACATCTATGTAGAAAAAAATGAACCTCAACCTCTCTCCTCATCCCATACACAAAAAAATGAACTTATTTTGAGTTGATCATAGGCTTAAATATAAAAGTTAAAACTATAAAGCTTTTCAACAAAAAAAAGTCATTGAGATAGACACATTTTTGATAGGACACAAAAAGTGCTAATCATGAAAGAAAAAGATTGATACATTAGACTTCGTTAAATGTTAAATCTTCTGCTCTTTAAAGACCACCTCTTGAAAGAAAATGAATCAATAATCAATAACCTTTCAAAACAGAAATCACTAGGCTAAACCCAGATGGGTTCACTTGTAATTCTACCAAACATTTAAGGAAGAAATTATATTCTCTCTAATCTCTTCCAAAAAATAGAAGCAAAGAAAATATTTCCTAACTCATATTGTAAAACACATATCTGATATAAAGGAGTGATACCCAAAATAAACAAAGAACTCTTAAAATGAAACAATGAGAAAACAAGCAACTCAATTTAAAAATGGGCAAAAGATCTGAACAGACACCTCACCAAAGAAGATATACAGATGGTAAATAAGCATATGAAATGATGCCCAACTCATATGTCATTAGAAAATTGCAAATTAAAACAACAATATGCTGGCGAGGATGTAGAGCAACAGGAACTCTCGTTGCTGGTGAGAATACAAAATGGTACAGCCACTTTGGAAGACATTTTGGCAGTTTCTTACAAAACTAAACATACTCTTACCATATGATCCAGCAATCACACTCCTTGATATTTACCCAAATGAGTTGAAAACTTATGTTCACACAAAAACCTGCACATGAATGTTTATGGCAGCTTTATCCATAATTGCCAAAACTTGGAAGCGATCAAGCCATGAAAAGACATTGCTGAGAAGAAGCCAATCTGAAAAGGCTACACATCCTGTATAATTCCAGCCGTATTCTGGAAAAGGCAAAGCTGTGGAGACAGTCAAAAGATCAGGAGTTGCCAGGGGTTTGTTGTCAGTGGTTGCCAAAGGCAAGGATGAATAAGGAGAACACAGGGGATTTTATGTGATAAGTATCATACCTAAAAATCCCCTGTGTTCATATCATGTATAAATAAATGTACATAGACATATACACATATATATATATAAATCATGTGTATGCAATGACATGTATCTATCCTGTCATTCTGTATTGGTCAAAATATCAAAATCCACAGAATGTACAACACAAAGAGTGAACTCTAATGTAAACTGTGGACTTTAGTTAATACTAATGTGTCAATATTGGCTTATCAGTTCTAACAAATGTACCACACTAATGCAATAGTAGGAAAAACTGTCCAATCTAAACACTGGGCAAAGGATTTTAAAAGATATTTCACAAAGGAAGATATGAAAATGGCAAATCAGCATGTGAAAAGATGGTTAATATCTTTTTTTTTTTTTTTTTGAGTCTCTCTGTTGCCTAGGCTGGAGTGCAATGGCATGATTGCCGCTCGCTACAACCTCTGCCTCTCAAGTTCAAGCAATTCTCGTGCCTCAGCCTTCCAAGTAGCTGGGATTACAGGTGTGCACCACTATGCCTGGATAATTTTTTTTGTATTTTCAGTAGAGATGGGGTTTCTCCATTTTGGCCAGGCTGGTCTAGAACTTCTGGCCTCAAGTGATCCACCCGCCTTGGCTTCCCAAAGTGCCAGGATTACAGGTGTGACCCACTGCTCCCGGCCAAGATACTTAACATCTTTAATCATCAAGGAAATGCAAATTAAAACTACAGTGCAATACCACTGCATACCCATTAGAATGCCCAAAATTTTAAAAACTGACCATACCAAGTGATGGCAAGTGATGGCAAGGGTGTGGAACAATTTGAACTTTTACATTGCTAATGGCATGTAAAGTGGTATAGCAAATTTGGAACATTGTTCAGCAATTTCTCATAAAGTTAATCATACATTTACCATGTAACCCAACAGTTCAACTTTTAGGTATTTAACCAAGAGAAATGAAAGTCCACGTCCATAAAGATACTTGACTACAAATATCCATACAGTTTTATTCAAAATAGCCCCAAACTGGGTGGGCGCGGTGGCTCACACCTGTAATCCCAACATTTTGGGAGGCTGAGGCAGGCAGATCACTTGAGGTCAGGAGTTCAAGACCAGTCTGGCCAACATGGTGAAACTCCATCTCTACTAAAAAAAAATACAAAACTAGGCTAACATGGTGAAACCCCATCTCTACTAAAACTACAAAAAAAAAAAAAACAAATCAGCCGGGCGGCTACTCAGGAGGCTGAGGCAGGAGAATGGCCTGAACCCGGGAGGCAGAGCTGGCAGTGAGCCGAGATCGCGCCACTGCACCCCAGCCTGGGCGACAGAATGAGACTCTGTCTCAAAAAAAAAAAAAAGCCAGGTGTGGTGGCGGGCGCCTGTAATCACAGCTTCTAGGGAGGCTGAGGCACGAAAATCACTTGAACCTGGGAGGTGGAGGTTGCAGTTAGCCGAGATCGCACCATTGCATTCCAGCCTGTACTACAAAGTGAGACTCTGTCCCAAAAAAAAAAAAAAAAAAAAAAAAAAACCCCAAACCGGAACAAACTAAATGTCTGTCAACAAGTAAGTGGTGTATTCATAAAATGAAACACTGCTCAGCAATGAAAAGGAAGGAACTATAATACTATTACATAGGATGAATTACTCTTGGAAACATGCTAAGTGAAAAAAGCCATATATATTCAGATTTTTTTTAAGCTCTCAAACAGGCAAAACTAATCTGTAGTAATAGAAGTCTGATCATTGTTTGCCTGAGTTAGGAAGATTGATAGCCAAGGAACATGAAGGAAATTTTAGAGGTGATAGAAATATTCTGTTTTCTTGATTTGAGTGGAAAGTCCTGGGTTTATACCTTTCTCAAAATTTGTTGAACTGTACAAAATTTGTTGAACTTAAAATGGGTGCATTTTATTGTATGTAAATTATACATCAATGAAGTTTAGTTTAGAAATATCTGAGAGTAGAATGATTTCCAGCCAATAACTATCACATTTCTTGTAGTTGTAAAGATAGAATAAAGCATTTTCAGATATAAAAGACCTCAGATTTTATCTGCTTGATATATTCACCTTTTCTAGCAAAGGTCCTGGAAGATGTCCTTAAACAGGGGAAAACCAAAAGAGACAAAACCAAAAGAGACGGAGGAAGCAAAGGATCTGAAAGGAAGCCCAGGAATGACAGCTGATCCACAAGATTAGGGAACAACCAGTGCATATTGAACCGGGGGCCTGGCGAATCCTCTAGAAAGGAGGCCTCCAGAGAAGAAATGAATTGATCTCCTTGAGTTTATAGAAAATATTATTGATAGATTTATGTCAGAATGTTGAAACATCTGATAAATTCTAGAACCGCTGACAAATGAAAACATAAGAAAATTATTAACTCCAGAAAAAAGAAAGTATGGCACAAGAGAGGAGGTTCGAACAAAGTGCACAATTTGACTTAGCAGTGAGCAATATTTGCATAATCATAATCAAAATATTAGCTTTTGATTTTATAAAAAACTATGATCTCTGTTAGGGAATTGGGAACCAGGATGGTAGTAAGAGAGGTACATGTGGAAGAACTAAGACCTCATCTATAATGAGGGGAAGTCAGTAAATCTAAAATGGAGACATCAAGAAATAGCAATATATGCATATTTAGAAATAAATAGGCAATGCCAAAGAAAACAGTTTTCAGAGTTGCAGATGGTTGCCTCTATTGAGAAGGAGGTAACTAAGTGACTGGAAGGGGTGAGGCAAGAAACTGCTTTATTTATTATGGGCCTCTTGGTTCTGACTTATAAAATTATGTGTGTGTGTTAACTTGATAAAAACTAGAGTTAATAGAAATAGTATCTGCTAGCTTTGCAAGTTGTGAAAGTGGGGTGTTTTCTGTCATAGTCTGTATTGAGGCAAACAGCTTTTTTCTCCCTTGAGGCTTCCCCTCCGGAGTACAGCTCCATAAGTGAAAGTATGTAAATAGGCCAGAATCTGTTTCACCTCGTGCTAATATGTTCGCAAAGGCCAAGAGCATAGAGGGGAAGATACCAAGGTAGATATGGGGGAGGTCAGTAGATGCAGACAACCAGTCTACAATGTGTAGATATAGACAGGAAAGAAAAAAGAATTCAGAGACCATAAGGCTAAGGAAACAAGTTGGGTGTGAAAAAGGAAAAAAGAATTAAGGATTGCAGAAGGAAAAAGAAAGAAAAAAGATGGGAACAAAAATATGATAGCGTATAAAGAGAAGAAGAAAAGAATCACTTCTAATTCTCTGCCCCACTCTTACCTCTAAATTGTCCCATCACTACTGTCTACTAGAACCAGAGTCTATTATTGATTGGCCCACATCTTAAGTTTGTGCCCGCCCAGGAAAATCAAGCACCTTTCCTTACTTTAGTCTTCAATCTTAGCTGAACTGTGTCACGTACAAATATCTTGCATAGGATAGTTTAATTATCATCCTCCTTCACCACCTGAGATACACAGTTAGAAGTAATGGCTCTATCCCCCATGACACTTATCTTTTTCTCTTATACTTTTCTTTTCCTTGCCATTTTGCACTGTATTCTGAGAGAATCTCTGAGCTCAACTTTCCAGATCAAAACTAAATCTTCAGCTATGTCCATCCTGCCCTTCAGTCCATCTATTGAGATCATTTCATCATAGCTATAATTTTAAGATTTCTAAACATTCTTTTTCTTAGGAGTCTATTACTTTTTATGGATGCAATAGACTTTTTAATCTGTATGATGATATTTATTGTAATTTGGGGTTCACTCATTTTCTATACTAACTCTTTTTTCTTCAACATTACTTTCTTCATTAAAGTTGCTTTCTTTCTCCTGTTGACTTTTCTTGAATGTTTGGTAAATTTTGACTGTCTCTCCATATATATTGAAAAAGATCTAGAATTTTAAAATACTGGTAGCTAGTGTATTTCTTTAGCTAAAGTGAGAAGCCCTTTTCCCCTGGCAGTGAATGTAGATTCTGATTATAGAAGCCCTACTTCTCAGTTGTTGTGAGGAATAGGCCTTGGAGGTGGGGAAACCCCTTGTGGCAGCCCTAGCACCCCCTTTGGGAGATTCCCTGGGCAGAACTCCCATTTTGAGTCATATGCTCACAATTGTAATCCCATGGACAGGTGCCAGAGTCAGCTGCACTCAGAGCAATGGCCTGGCAGCAGCTGTTCAGCCATCCATAATTATCCAGCAATTGCCCATGGCCTGTTCCTTTATTTGCTCAAATGACCACTGAGCCTGGAGTTGTTCTGGTGTTCTGGGAAAATTCCTCTCTTTGGAAAATCTCTTTCTCCTGTTGCAAGTGTTTTAGTTTAGTTGAAGTTTCACAATCAGTTTGTTTCCATTTGTGTTTTGTCTTTCAGAAATTCTTCGTTGTTTTAGTCTTCTGCCATGAAAATTTCTTCTGCCTTTCCTTCGGCTGTAGATTTGTGTTCCCCTTTTTTCTTTCTTGAGTTATTTCAGTGGTGTTTTTGAAGAGAAAATAAAATATAAGTGATATATCTGCCACATTGAACCACAAGTCTCCTTGGGTTCGTTTACAAATGAGAAAACAAAGGTCCAGAGAAAAGGGAGACACATAAACACACACAGACAAAAACTTCCCCAAAGTAGTATTTGTAGAATAAACCAGGATTTAAATCTCAATCCACCTGGTTTCAAAACATGTTGTGTGTATGCACACACACACACCCAAGCAGTGTGGCCAAGTGATTTAAGTAATTTTGTTAGAAATGTTCTACCAGAGCACATCCAGGTAAATACTGCTTTTTCAATGGAGATAGCTTTTATGAGGGTACTGTTGATCAGAATGTGTACAGCATGCCTGTTTGTCAGTACCTTCAAAACCTTTGCTGTGTCCTTTTGACTATCTTCAAATCCCTATTGTTTGAGGGTAGATTTCACTTTTGAAAATTTCCAGTCATGTGGAACCAAATACGTTGATCTAAAAAGAATAATGCTGTTTTTTTTAAATCAAAAACTAAAAAGTGTACCTATGAGGAAACTTATTTTCTTGAAGGACCTGTGGACTGGTTGAGATAGTTCCTGAAGAATTCCAAAAATATTTAAGCATTGACATCACTGGAATAAGTGAATGACCGTGTGAGGCAGTTGTTTTTGTGTTCTGTGAACATAAACATTCTGGGATAATTTTTTTTTAATCTTATTAATTCACAGTAAATCAAAAATATTGTATAACTATAAAAATCACTATTTTCGTATGCAACATTTTCAGTACCTAAAAAGATCCATTTTTCAGCTTGGGCAACATGGTGAAAAATGGGCAACATGGGCAAAAAATACAAAAATTAGCCAGGCATGGTGGTATGCACCTGTAGTCCCAGCTACTTGGGGAGCTGAGACAGGAGGATCACTTGAACCCAAGGAGGTGGAGGTTGCAGTGAGCCGAGATCATGCCACTACACTCCAGCCTGGGCGACAGTGAGACCCTGTCTCCAAAAAAAAAAAAAAAAAAAAATCCTTTGAAGTTACATTTCATGGTTTTTGTATATTTGTTTATTTATTTTTAGTGATTAAGATATTCACGGTTCAACATTCAAAAAAGTTTTTAAAATATATAGTGAAAAATATCTTTCCTGGCAGTATCGTTTTTTCTGTACCTTCAAAAATTACGTACATAGACTTCCCTTTTTAAAATACAAATAGTGTCATACTATACACATTAGCTGTTCTGTATCTTAGTCACTTTTTCACTTAATGTTCTATGGATGTCATTCTGTATCAGTGCATAAAGAGCATCTTTATTCTTTTTTTATAGCTGTACAACTTCTTACAGTTGTACCAGAATTTACTTAACCAGTAGCCTGATAGGCATCTTTTGCTATCACAAAGCTGTAATGAATAATCTTATGTAGAGATAATTTACCACATGTGACGGTATATCTGAGATACAAGTTCTGAATAGAATTGCTGGGTCAAAAGATAGATATTGCCAAATAGTCCTTTCCAGCAGTTGTTTCAGCTTACACCCTAACTGATAATGTTTCCATTTCTGCATATCCTTGCCAATACATTGAATTATGTACTTTCTCATTTTTGCCCATCTGATGGTTTTATTCTTTTAGGTATCTCAATGTCATTTTAATCTATATTTCTTTTATTGTGAATTAGATCATATTTTAATGATTTTATAATATTCATTTATGTTCATATTCTCTACCTATTGTCTTACTGGGTTTTTATCCTATTGATTTATAGAATTTTTTATATGTTAGAAAAATGAGTTCTTTGTCTACATCATGTTTTGAAAAAAATAAAACACTGTAACTGCTGTGCAGTTACTGCCAAATGTAACACAAAACTAAACCAGAAACTTCCTTAACAACAGCTGAAGAAAATTAACTGTGAATATCAAAATCAGTAGATACTAAATCAACTGTTAGAAGAGTAGAATGTGCAAAAGCCACCCTCATGGTTAAGAAAATGCTTTCTACTTGGTGTACAGAAATTTTTTTCTATATCCTAATCTTGGAAGTGACAGAAATTTTTAAATTATTTCTTAATATAAGGGGGGTTTTTTTGTTTGTTTTTTGTTTTGTTTTGTTTTGTTTTGTTTTGTTTGCTGGGTTCAGTGTCCCTTTTAGCTATATTTTAAATGGAGGAAGTATGATGTTGAGCCCTTTGCAAAGATGATAACGAATGTTAATAGCTTGATCGGGGGATCCCTAGGGCTTGTTTTCTGCCCCTACTTCAGCTGCCTGTTTCCAGCAGAAATGACTGTATTGTCCTGTATTACATGTATACTTACTCATGTTTGTGTCACAGAAATGACCAAAAATATTTCATTTATTCTCTGGACAAAGAGAGAGAGCCTGTGTATTTCCTAGAAGAAATACGTGAAGCATACCTTCACATTTTTTACAGAAGGCAGTTTCTAAAGAAAGTCGCAAAAGGTTGAAATGACTTTCAGAATAAAAACCAACTTCTTTTAAGCATGCAGTCTATCCAAACAAAACTTTTTTTTGACTTAAAATTTTATTAGTATGGGGATTTTTTTGTTTGTTTTTGTTTGCTTAGTCACCAAACTCAGCATATGAATCTTATTTTGAAAATATTTTATCCAACTTATTTTCTTAACATTTTTTTCAAGACTAGTAAAATTAGATACTGTGTCCTATTACTGAGTCAAATAAACTATCTTGCAAAACTTAGTATTGCTAGTAGACAGTGGACAGCCATGTAAATTTTCTTAGACTTTTAAATTAATTAATTTTGGTTATAATAATTAAGATTAGATTTCTTGAAATAAGATTGAGGAATTAACATGTAGGCAGAGCCAATGGGACAGTTTTAGATAATCTTTGACCAACTTTCTGATTTAAATAATGACAGAAAGTAAGTGATTATTTCCCTTTTTTTTTGTTGTTTTATTTTGTTGTGTTTTTCAGAATCCTACAGAATTTGATTTCTATATCATTTGTCATGATAGAGATGAGGTTAATCGAAAGCTGTAATTATATACATTTAAAAGTAAATGTGTTTATGTAACTTTTATTTCTCAGTTATACTAAATATTGAATATATTCACTTAGAAGTGAGCCTTGCATGTATTATGTAGTTAATAATGTTCAGTAACTAGCATTAAGTACATTTTGGGAAGCATCCTTAAATCTACTTATTCTTCATTCATTCGAATGAGAAATTCTACCTCAATAAGCTTTCCCTTAAAACTCCAAGGCTGTTTTAGTTTTTAAAAAAAGATTCTATTTGGGCTACTATAACAAAATACCACTGACTAGGTGGCTTAAACAACAGAAATTTATTTTCTCACAATTCTGGAAGCCTAAAGTAGTTTTGGTTTCTTCTGAGGCTTCTTTCCTTGGCTTGGAGATGGCCCTCTTCTCTCTGGGTCAGGTTATCCCTCTGTCTGTATTTTTTTTCTCCTGAACTCCTCTTCTTGGAAAGACACTAGTCATATTGGATTAGGGCCCACTGTAAAGACCCATTTTGTCTTAGTTACCTTTTTAAAGGCCCTGTCTCCAAATATAGTCACATTCTGAGATACCAGGGGTTAGGACTTCAGCATATTAATTTGGAGGGGGGTACAATTCAGCCCATAACAATGATCAATTAATATATATTCATTTTAGAAATTTCAAATAACCATCATAGAAAGAAAAGCAGCCTTTAATCTCACTACCTAAAGTGGACCTAAAGTGTGCGTGTGTGTGTGTGTGTGTGTGTGTGTGTGTGTGTGTGAGATCCCAGAATTTTTTTATATTAATATATATGAAATAGTTTATAAAAACAGAGTCATCCTGAAAATAATGTTTTGGAATATGTTTTCTTTTTTCATTTAACAGCACATTGTCAATATCTATGCCATAATTCATTAATCAGTCCCTAAGTTTCTGGAATTTAGGTTATTTATAAATTTTTTTCTAGTATAAATAGTACAGAGATGATCATAAAGCTTTCCAAAAAAGCGTTACAGAAAAACGTTCTAAAATGCATATACTATTTTCTTCAATTACAAAACATAATTCAACTTCTTTTTTCATTTGGGCCATCATTATAAGTCTCAGTTCTTATACTGTTATTGTACAGCTATATTCTAAGATTAGCAACTGTAGAGCTGTGTTCATTTGCTGCATGGCCTCAGATTCTAGTTTCTGTTCCTGCCTCTGATAGAATGTATTTTATCTTTTGCTCACCACTCTTATTTCGTGGTGATGACACTGTGTTACTTATAGCATATTCTGATATGTGACTGAAAAGCAGATAACCAAAATTGTTAAATTTATCTTTAAGATAAATAATTTCTGACAAAGTCCTGAGTGATTCTGGATAACAGTAACCTATGTACAAACTTTAATATCAGATTTTCCTTGATTCAGAAATCTTTTTTCACTTTCTCATTTACTTTTTTATTATGTGGTCACACTAGATAGTTTAAATTGCTGAATAAGTGACCTTTGTATCATTGAAGTAATATTTTAAAGGAGAAATCTCACTCTCCAATATATTATTTTTGAAAATACCATCATTTTATCCTCCACTGAGATAATGACTTCTTACCTTTTCTTCTTAAATCAGGATTACCTGAGCTGGAATTGGAAGCAATTGATAACCAATTTGGACAACCAGGAACAGGCGATCAGATTCCATGGACAAATAATACAGTGACAGCTATAAATCAGAGTAAATCAGAAGAGTAAGTAATACATTTTGTATTTTATAAGGTATCAGATACCAACTTCTAAACAGAGAACTATTTTTTCCAAACTACATTTCAGTCTACAGTGGTATTTTGTGAGATATTAATAGATGTAAATACTTACTAAAAAAAAAAAAAAAAAGTGGGCCCGGTGCAGTGGCTCTGGCCTGTAATCCCAGCACTTTGGGAGGCGGAGGCAGGTGGATCACCTGAGGTCAGGAGTTTGAGATCAGCCTGGCCAACATGGTGAAACCCCATCTCTACTAAAAATACAAAAAATTTGCCAGGCGTGGTGGTGCGCAGCTGTAATCCCAGCTACTCAGGAGGCTGAGGCAGGAGAATTGCTTGAACCCAGGAGGTGGAGGTTGCAGTGAGCCAAGATTGCGCCATTGCACTCCAGCCTGGGCAACAAGAGTGAAACTCTGTCTCAAAAAAAAAAAAAAAAAAAAAAAAGGGTGGCGGGGACAAGGGAAAGACACTGAATTAAACAGATTTATTGACTGCATGACCACAAGGCTAGTATACGTTGTAATCACCAAGAGATTGATATAATATGTAGCTATTGTTTTATATTTCATGTATTACTTTAATTGATTACCATAATGTATCTGGGACCTATGGATGAATTGGCCTCAGTACAATAATTATATTGCTCTTGAACTTTTAGTTATATTATTATTTTGTCCAGCATTTCTCTTCGTTTGGTGCAAGAAGTTATAAGAAAGGAAAGTATACTTTTTACATCTACTCAGTGTCACATCTTGATTAGAATTGAATTTCTTACTCCCCGCAGGCAGCCATATTCCATAACGCAGGCTGCGTCTCATACCTGCCAACCACAGGAAGACTAGATAGTATTGATTGTGGTTTAGCGCCTTAACTATGAACTGTATTCCCATTTACCTTCTCAAAGGAAGAATGCTTATAATTGTATTATTAGTGTTATTAGGATTAGTATTATTTTGTATATATTTCTGTTTTATGTATCAGTTGGTATCTATTTGGATTAGACTGTATATTTCCTACATGTAATCAGTGAATAATTTGTTGCTTAATACCTAGCATATTTCATTTTTCCAGTTTGATTTCTTTTGTAAATGGTAATCATGTCATGTTAACAATCAAAATGATTTGATCATCTTTAAAAGTTAATATAATATGTACTGTTTTGATTGTGGTTCAGTTATTAACAATTAATGGCATTCATAAAAGGTAAATAAATAGAATAAGTAGAATAAATCTGAATATAGGCTAAATGATTTTTTCTCAGTTTTTGGCTGATTTTGTTTTTACTTTTATTAAAAGTTATTTCCCCTTTCTTAACTGTTTGGTTAATTTTCCAGGCTATTTCTGGAACATAAAGAATATGGGAACAAAGTTCAATGACTGACAAAAGAATGAAAACTATATTCAAGCTACATACCAAATACTCATTTAATTTCTACACATTAAACATAGAACATTCCATGGCATTAGAATTGCCAAGCATCTCAACAGTGAATTTTCTAAGACCAAATTTGCATCTATATATGTATATAAAGATTGAATAAATTATTTGCTATGTCAGTCTGAAACTTTCTTGTTTTTTAATCCTGCAGCCAGTGTATTAGCTCACAATTAGATGAGCTTCTCTGTCCACCCACAACAGTAGAAGGGAGAAATGATGAGAAGGCTCTTCTTGAACAGCTGGTATCCTTCCTTAGTGGCAAAGATGAAACTGAGCTAGCTGAACTAGACAGAGCTCTGGGAATTGACAAACTTGTTCAGGTATTTATTAAAGTCAACATTATTTAACTGATGGAGCCCTAAGAAGCTAGAAAATTATTTTAAGCAAGATTTTAAAGTATTGTACCCACTATGCTTTAGCTGTTTTATAATTTACCTCTTGTGAAACTTATCAAAATATATGAGTTTTTTTTTTAAGAAAAAGTATTACAGTAATTAGAATTAGAAATAAGTCTTAGCTTTTCACTATGGAACAGAATCTTACAAGCTCCAGCCAGAATAGAATCCAGATTTATAGCATCACTTCTCATTTTAGAGCTTAATTTATCCTTCATTCACGCTTGTCTTCTGCCAGTATATTCCATGGTATTGCAACTTCCAGGTTAGCCTTTTTTACACGATAGGGTGATAAAATCACTTTAGTGCATCTTGACCAGCATTTTTAAATGGAGTAGAATAGTGTAGAATACAAAGTATGAGAATGCATAGCCCATAAAAAGAAGTCATGTTTTGTGAAACTCCTTTCAGCTGCATACAAACACACACACACACAAGCACACGCGCACGCGCGCAATTAGGTCACAATTTATATTTCTTACAGTGGGTAATAGTGAAAACATTTGGAAACCATAACGCTACAGCTTTCTGTTACATGAGCTGTGGATTTTTTTTTCAAATAAAAGCATGAATTTTATATCTGAGATAGAAAAATGCCTGCTTGATCCCTCCTTTAAGAATCTACTTCCTATAGTAAGCTATTAAATGTAAAGTTTATTGATTCTTAGGCTTTGCAATGAAGTTTTTTCCCAAACCTTTTAGTTTTATTTCATTGATTTGGAGCCTTTATTTTAACTATATTGCCATCTCTTTACTGAGATTTTAAATATCTCAGCTAATCCGTTACTCCATTTCAAAAGCAGCTTTTATAAATGATTTCTTTAGGTAGTAAACTTCTGGAGAGCATGAATTCAGAATGAATATATGATGGTGCTTTCTAGAAATACGGAAGCATGTTACTTATTGGCAGAAATTTATTTGTAAAATATTCTGGCTTCTTTTCTAACAGGGGGGTGGATTAGATGTATTATCAGAGAGATTTCCACCACAACAAGCAACGCCACCTTTGATCATGGAAGAAAGACCCAACCTTTATTCCCAGCCTTACTCTTCTCCTTCTCCTACTGCCAATCTCCCTAGCCCTTTCCAAGGCATGGTCAGGCAAAAACCTTCACTGGGGACGATGCCTGTTCAAGTAACACCTCCCCGAGGTGCTTTTTCACCTGGCATGGGCATGCAGCCCAGGCAAACTCTAAACAGACCTCCGGCTGCACCTAACCAGCTTCGACTTCAACTACAGCAGCGATTACAGGGACAACAGCAGGTAAGTGCTCTTGTTTAGCAGTTGATACTTTTTTTTTTTTTGAGACGAAGTCTCACCTGTCACCAGGCTAGTGTGGCTAGTGTGCAGTAGTGCTATCTCAGCCCACTGCAACCGCCGCCTCCCAGGTTCAAGCAATTCTCCTGCCTCAGACTCCCGAGTAGCTGGGATTACAGGTGTGTGCCACCACTCCCAGGTAATTTTTATATTTTTAGTAAAGACAGGGTTTCACCATATTGGCCAGGATGGTCTCGATCTGTTGACCTTGTGATTTGCCCACCTCGGCCTCCCAAAGTGCTGGGATTACAGGCGTGAGCCACCGCACCCTGCCAGCAGTTGATACTTTTTAAAGGTATATACCAAATCTCTCTGCAAGGCAGCCCAGTTGCTACAATAAAAGTGTCAAGTCCACTCCCAGAACTTTCATGAAAGACTTGAAGAGCCATCCTTCCTCTCCTAGGAAAGGGATAAGGGACCTTTTCATTCAATTAAAGACCTTTCATTCAATTAAATCAATTCATTCAATTAGGCTCCTAATAAAGCACTTAGAGACCTATAACTTAAAGAACAATTTAATTTTTATTTTTTGAGATACAAACTATTTAAGGGGAACATCATACAATTATTAAATTAAGAGAAACAGCTTAATTTACAAAGTAGAGCATCAAGAGATACTGTTTATGATTATTGGAAAAGAAAATAAAGTTTATTTATATTGATTGAGGTTGGAGAGATTGATGCCCAGTGATGTTACTATATTAGGAGAATGAAGGAGAATAGGGGCCTGGGAGTTGTGAGTGAGTTAAATCTTCTCTCTCATGACAGGAAATGAGTAGGCGTAGTGGCATAAATATTTAAGATTGTATAAGCAACAGATATGGAGATAATCATTAAGGACCACAAGAGCAAACAGTTAAAAATGTCTGCTGTGGGCCGGGCGTGGTGGCTCACGCCTCTAATCCCAGCACTTTGGGAGACCAAGGCGGGTGGATCACTTGAGGTTAGGAGTTCGAGACCAGCGTGGCCAACATGATGAAACCCCATTTCTACTAAAAGTACAAAAAAAAAAAAAAAAAAAAAACGGGCATGGTGGCACGTGCCTATAATCCCAGCTACTCTGGAGGTTGAGGCAGGAGAATCACTTGAACCCGGGAGGTGGAGGTTGCAGCAAGCCGAGATTGTGCCATTACACTCCAGCCTGGGTGACAGAGCAAGACTCTGTCTCAAAAAAAAAAAAAAAAAAGCCAGCTGTGGGAAGGGGGACCTGAGCTGTAGATTGTTGCTGCTTGTTATGAATCTTGTAGTTTCTAAAACCATATTTGTATATTGCCTTGAATTTTTATAAAAGTATTTAAAGAGGTTCCCTGGAGACTTACTAATTCAGGAAGGAAGAGAAAGAAGGAGATAAATTATACTGGAAAGGCAGTATGATGTAATGGTTTTAAGAGTTCTAGTTTCAAGTCCCAGTTCCAAACTTAAGTGGGTTGCCTTAATCAAATGATTTACCTTTTAAAACCTCTAATTCCTCATCTATAAAAAGAGTCTAATAAAGAACTCCTTTCCCTCACTGGTGGTTGTATGGAATAAATGAGACAAAACATGTAAAGCTTGTAGCATAATGCCTGGCATATTGTAGCAGTTGATAAATATTAGCTATTACTATAAAGTTGCATTCAATAAACATAATATGTAATATAAAATGTGCTTCCATTCTGTTTAAAAAAAGGAAGATGACGAAAGAGAAGAGAAAAGGAGAACTAAGAAAGGGAAATTTTTTAAATGATAGAATAACAATAAAAGGAATAATTTTTTAAATGCTAGGGTAGAATAAAGGATTCAAAGAAGAATTAAAGGAAGAGAGAGGAAAAGAGAAAGAGAAGGAATCATAAATGTTCTGAGATATTAATTGAAGATAAACTACTTCTTGTAGCTTTCCATTCATCTTTAGATAGAGGGCACCAGAATAAGAAATGCTTAACAGTTTCCCCGTGTTTAATTTTTCACAGAACATATTTAAGGGGACTACACTAGGTACTATAAGGAATACAAGGAATAAAAGAAACAGGCAACTGCTTGGCTTTTTGACTACAAGACCTGAAAACCATTTTGACTACATACCTGAAAAGTTAAGTGACGCTGCAAGCAGTATGTGATTAAGGGCTAAACCAAAAAAGTAAAGGAAAGTGTAGGTGTGCTAGTTTCTCATTTTACAATGTAAAGTTCTGTAAATACTGCCTAATATTAAAGGGTCAATGAGCAAGGCCAGACCAAGGGTCTAGGTCAGGTTCATGAATGAATGGAATGATGATTCATGCTTGATTCAGAAAAAAAAAGTTGTTTTGGCTTCCATTTGCTCCTAAAACAGCTGATAAGCAGAGAAGCCCTGCAAAGGTATGAGAATAAGATGCAAATAAGTGAAAGTTGCTGCTCTTTGCTTCCCTTAAATCTCATGGATGCCTATCCAGAGATGGCATGGTAACCTAACAGAGTAAAGTATCCACCAAGTTGAAGAAACACAGAATTTGGGGCTCACCATGTTATAAGCCCCATGTATGTCTATACGCAAAAACAACTTCTACTGCAAACTAAGACAGTAACTCTGCTACCTAACGAGCCACATATCGGGGCCTGTTCCTTCTCTTTTAAGCCATAAGTTCTTACTGTTTCAGCACTAGGTCGCTCAGCTTCACTTGCACTGCAAGTACTAGGAGTTTTACATGTGTCCACTTAAGGGCTTTCTGTGAGCAGGTCTGGCCAAGGTTCTCAGTCAGTGTCTTGGTTAAGATGCTTTCAGCCACAAGGAAAGAAAAAAAGATCAACTCAGCATAGTAAAACAATAAAGAAAATATTTTGACCCAATTGACAATCCAAAATGAAAGCAGACCAAGGTGTGGTTACTTCAGAGATTCAGGGATGTTATCAAGGACCCAGGTTCTTTCTCTTTTTGCTCTGCAATCCTTGGCATGCCATGATTACAAATACCGTAGGCAAACAAAACTATAACTAGCAGAAGAAAAGGGACTGTTTCTTTCCTATGTACCTCTTTCCAAAAGCCAGGAAACTTTTTCCAGAAGGTCTTCCCACCCCATCCCCCGCCAAAAAAAGAAAAAAAGGAACAAAAAAAAAAAGTAAAAAGGGGGAAAAAATACTTCACATGTCTGACTAGTCAGAACTGAGTCACATGTACACCCTTAACCAATGGTTCGCAAAGACTGACTGAGAATACTCCTGGATTACCCCTGGAGTTGTGTGATTTGGGATGGTCAGCTGAACAAAATCTGTTCTGTCTTCAAGAAAGAAGGGGAGAGTAAATGGCTGCGGGTTGGCAATAACAGTGCCTGATTAAATCAAGAAATTGAGGTTTAAATATATTGTTTAAAGTTATATAGTTAAATTCACAGTTGGGATAAAATAGTGAACTGAGGTAGTATTAATATATCTCCCCTTTCTCCTGCCTTAAATCCTATTAAATAACAGGTTGTATTTTTTGTGTCTGTGACTAAGTTCATGTCAGTGTAGACAAAAAAAAGAACACCATTAGCGCACTAAAAATTAAGTCATTTTGAAATACAAAAAAAGCAAACATGAGAAAGAAACAAAATTATATGCAAATAATACAACTATTTATATAGAAAATCCAAAAGAATCTGGCCGGGCACAGTGGCTCACGCCTGTAATCCTAGCACTTTGGGAGGCCGAGGCGGGTGGGTTGCCTGAGCTCCGGAGTTCAAGACCACCCTGCGCAACATGGTGAAACCTCATCTCTACTAAAAATACAAAAGTTAGCTGGGCATGGTGGTGCATGCCTGTAATCCCAGTTACTGGGGAGGCTGAGGCAGGAGAATTGCTTGAAACTGGGAGGTGGAGGTTGCCATGAGCCAAGATTGTGCCACTGCACTCCACCCTGAGTGACAGAACAAGACTCCATCTCAAAAACAAAACAAAACAAAACAAAAAACAGAAAATCCAAAAGAATCTATAGGGAACTTAGAACAAATAGAGTAGTTCAGCAAGGATTTTAGATAAAAGAACAAGAAACAAAAATTAATGGCAATTCTTTTTACTAGAAAATTAATTAAAAATACATTCAGGCCAGGCACGGTGGCTCACGCCTGTAACCCCAGCACTTTGGGAGGCCGAGGTGGGCGGATCACCTGAGGTCAAGAGTTCGAGACCAGCCTGGCCAACATGGTGAAGCCCCGTCTCTACTAAAAATACAAAAATTAGCTGGGTGTGGTGGCGTGTTCCCAGCTACTCAGGAGGCTGAGACAGGAGAATCGCTTGAATCCAGGAGGTGGAGGTTGCAGTGAGCCAAGATTGTGCCATTGCACTCCAGCCTTGGTGACAAGAGCGAAACTCCATCTCAAAAAAAAAAAAAAAGAAGAAAAAAGAAATTCACACTGTTCAAAACTTAGAAGATGTGGAAGTCATAATTGAAAGGCAAAAAGAACATCCAAAAAAAAATACTCATGAAAGAAATTATGTCTCCTAATTGGTTGTCGCTTGTAAAAAGATGACAGTTGTTCCAAATTCAATCAGTAAATTCAGTGGAATTCCAATAAAATCTCAACATGGAATTTGACAAATAGATGCTAAATTTGTTTTAGAAGCATCAATACAATCTTGAAGTATTAATAAAATGAGGGTATACTTGCTCTACCGATATCAAGATTTAAAACAAAGCTTTAAAAATTAAACCAGGCTGGATGTGATGGCTTACACCTATAACCCCCCCATTTTGAGAGGCGTAGGCAGGAAGATTGCTTGAGGTTAGGAGTTTGAGACTAGCCTGGGCAACATAGCAAGACTCTGTCTCTACCAAAAATAAAAAAAACCAAAAAACAAAAAGCCAGGTGTGGTGATGTGCACCTGTAGTCCCAACTACTTAGGAGCCTAAGTTGGGAGGATCTCTTGAGCCAGAGTTCAAGGCTGCAGTGAGCTATGATTGTGCTACTCACTCCAGCCTGGGTGGCAGAGCAAGACCTTGTCTCTAAAAAAAAAAATTAAAACAGTGTGGAACTAGCATGAGGATAAATAGTTCTACCATAATAGAGTTCTACATAATAGACGGTTCTGCATAATAGCTCTACATAATAGAAAGCCCAGAAACACACCCAGACATATTGAGAGACTTAATAAGAGACAGAGGTGACAATGGGGAAAGAATGGCGTGCATCATAAATGCTGGTACATTTGGCTGTTCATGAGGAGGAAAAAATTAAATTTGATCCTCATCTTATACAAGACACAAAAATAAACTCTAAGTGTTTTAGTGACCTAAATGTGAATATGAAAATATCTCTGTAGCCTCTTTAAAATGACATAAAGGAAAAAGTAAATGTTTACATTAAAATTTACGACCTAGAAGACAAAAGACACCATAAGCAAGGTTAAAAGGCAAGACAAAGACTCAAAGAAGATGTTTCCAACCCCATATGACTGGCAAAGGACTAGTGTCCAGAATACACCCAGTTTGTAATCTGCTATTCATAATATATTTACCTCATTGGATTGATACCCACCCATCTGTTCGCTTATTGGTCATATCCTCTCCTTCCCTCTTCCCAAATACAGGAGACTGTAAGCATCTCATAGCAAGAATTTAGCACCATGCCTAGTGATTTGAGAAAAGAAAACGGGTGTACTCAGATATACATTATAGTTTCCTTCTTTTTGGTGAATTTTAAGGTCAGTTTAAAAACAGATGTTGAAAAAATATATATATATAAATAGATATCATTTATTGGCCATGAGTATATCTCACTGGCTGGTATATACTTTTTACTCCTTGTGTAAAGGAGTAAAAAGATTGTAACATTTTAAATTCAATTACACAGTAATGAATAAATCCCCAGTTGGGAGGAGAGAGATGAAAAACATCCTAGGAAACTAGTGTATCTGTATTGGTTGAGATTTTTAAAAAGAGCAACAAGAAGGAAGGAGCTGATGATTAAAAAGCAATACGAAGTTACAAGCCTTTAGGTGTAATACCCGCTTACTCCTCAAATAAGCAAAGACCCAAGAAATATATCCGTAATATCAGTAAAGGACTTCTAAAATTCTATTTTGGGAAAAAGAACAACAGCAAAAATGGGTAGACCTGCTGCTTTTAGAAAATGGTATCATAGGCTGGGCACAGTGGCTCATGCCTGTAATCCCAGCACTTTGGGAGGCCAAGGCAGGTGGATCACCTGAGGTCGGGAGTTTGAGACCAGCCTGACCAACATGGAGAAACCCTGTCTCTACTAAAAATATAAAATTAGCCAGGCATGGTGGCACATGCCTGTAATCCCAGCCACTTGGGAGGCTGAGACAAGAGAATCGCTTGAACCCAGGAGGTGGAGGTTGCAGTGAGCTGAGATGTCACTGTTGCACTCCAGCCTGGGCAGCAAGAGTGAAACTCCGTCTCAAAAAAAAAAAAAAAAGAAAAAGAAAAAGAAAATGGTATCATTAGCTGACAAAAGATACGATTTTTCCACTCCAGTTTTGTTTTCTTCCCCAGCAAGGATCATGATCTTCATAACTATCAAGAGGAGAATAATATAAAGAGAAAGTGACAGTGAGACACATAAACAAATATGGTATACTTAGCAATCTTAAAACAAGTCAAGTCCAGATACGTATGTGTTAGGGTACTGAACAAATGTACGTATCTGACATTATAAGAACCACTATTGATCATCTTTTATATATTATAGAGAATAGAAGTGATCAGAAAACAGAATTAGGATTAAAGGACAGAAAAAAAGAGAGAAACATTTTACCTTCAGGTTTCTGGCAATGAAAAATGCCCAATAGGACAATAAGTTTCTTTAAAGAATACTTTTGTCTTTGCAAGAATTTGTGCAGTAGCTAGCTCAGGGTTTCTCAACCTTGGCATTTTAACATTTGGGGCTGGGTAATTCTTGTTATGGGGGAGATGTTGTGTGCATTAAGGATGTTTAGCAGCATTCCTGGCCTCTGCCCACGAGACGTCAGCAGTACCTCCTCTCTTAGTTGTGTCAGCGAAAATGTCTTCAGATATTGCCAGATGTCCCTTGTTTGGCAGAATCACCCCTAGTTGAGAACCTCTAGGCTAGATAATCATCTTTTAGGTTTCCTATAGGAGGACTTCTTGGTAAAGCACTGGGAAGAAAATCCATTCCGGCAGACAAAGTGACAGCCAGCCTGAACTGTGTGTGTTTATTTTATACTTAGGAATGGGTTTGCCCTCTTCCGCTGGCCACAAGCCCCACATTTCCTTTTCTTCTACAACAAGCCTTTTAACCTGTGTTTGTGTCTAAGGACTAACAACTAATCTCCTCCCACTCCCCACCTCTCTGAAAGTTAAGATTTCCAAGGAGCTGAGGAATGTAGCGATCCTTTTGGGAAGGCTATGTTGGAAGAAGTGGAACTTGACCTACTTGTTGAAAAACAAAGCATTTTAATAATTGGAGAGAAGAGGCAGGTCAAAATAAGACAGGTGTACACAGCACTAGTCAGGTTGCACACACAGATAGTCAAGGGGAGGAAAAAATGAACAAGGGTTAATTCAAGGGCAGAAATAGACCAGGTTTCCTATAACAGAAAGTACTTGTAGATTTATGCTATTTAGAATAATTCCTTCTACTTCTAAAAAAGAGCCTATTACTACTTGTCAGGCATCTTTCCTCCATCCCTACCCATTTCATTTGTACATTATCTCACAATTCAAAGAATATATAAAGCTATATGTTTGGAATGTATTTTTACCTGGCCTCATTGCCTCCTCTCCTGTTTTTTTACTTGCTGTTCCCTCTGCCTCAAGTTAACTCTGCCCTCCTCCTTGCCACCTTGCATTCTCATCCTTCAAGATGAATGCAAGCTGAGCTCACTCATGCTTCTTGGTCCCTGTCTTCATCCCTAGACTGAATGAGTTGCTCCCTCTGTGCTGCCGTAGATGTGTCCGTCTATGCAGACAAAGCACCTGTGCATTTTACTGTTGTGCGTTGGCTTCTGCCACTCAATAGGGAACGGAACTCCTAGAAGGACAGGAATTTGCTCACCTTTGTAACCTCCAAACTTTATACAGTATCTTGAATGTACTGAGTTTTTAAGTAAATCTTTATAAAATTAACTTGGTTTATCTAAATTTATGTTCCTGGTCTTTCAAGTTTAAGAAGTATATCAGTTTTGGTATTTAAGAGTCTTTTTGACTTTTAAAACTATAAAGTTGGTATCTTTCTTTTTGAAGTGACTCAGAACTTCAAAAAGTTTTAACTTATTCCACAATGCCTTAGATTTGTCATTTTAACATTTATATTATAATGAGCTTTTCCCCAAAATTGGTTTGTTTTCTGATCTAATGGGAGTGAGAAAATGACTGAAGTTAGAATTAAGAGTTGAGCTATTTGATGACAAGAGATTTAATCACTGTTCATAGCTCTTTGGATTCTTATAAAACTTTCGTAGGCTTTCTAGTTTATGTATAATATATTGAAATATATTTATGATATATAAGTATATATAATTTGTGTTTTACAAAGTATATAAACATAAAATAGTATTAATATTATTGTTACTGTTATCTTCCGGAATAGTTTATTCATATGAAATTATTGAAGAAGAAATGTTTTAAGCTATACATTGTTTTCAAGAAAATCTCATTTCCAAGAATACTTCTTTTGTTACCAGATACTGTTAAGGCATGCCTGGCATGCCTATGACCTGGAACCCTAATCCTGGTCTAGACTGATCTTCCAAACCAGTATTCACAGAAAATTGTTCTGAGAGATAGATATTAATGGTTAGATGTTAGAAAAAAAGGTTCATGATAAATAAATTGCATAGTATATCCCTTCTTGGCGATCCACAATGTGCTTTTGGCCAATTAAAGGCTTATAAAATTTCTGCAGTAAATAAATCTGTTTTACCTTGTGTAACCCATCATTTCCAGTACTTAATACAGCACAGCATGCTGTTTTCCCAGCACATCTATTAATATCCTGCAGAACAATGTTCTTTAGCATTGTTCTTTAGCATACCAATTTGGGAAATGCTGGTCTAAAGTAATTACTTTTTCTAGTTAAATAAATAATCCATTTTTTCAGACCATTTGTTTCTTACATAATACTGTCTAGCTAATGAAATCATACTGGATTTTCCCCAAATATGTATCCACCAGACATAGTACCTCCAAGTGAGAATACCATCCAGCTTGCTCAACTTTCCCTTCATCTTCCAGACCTTTGTAAAATGTGCCCTTACTGTATACCTGCTTTTACATTTATAATATTTTAAGACCTAGGGCTGGTACTTCTTCTTCCCCATTGCAGCACTTATCTAAAATAACTATTAACATGTTTTTTTGTTGTTTTGTTTGTTTGTTTGTTTTTGAGACAGTCTCGCTCTGTCACCCAGGCTGGAGTGCAGTGTGTTTGTATCCTACTTTTAAATACTTTGCCATAGTGTTTTGGAGGCAATAAGTGTTTTATAAACATTGGGAACTACTAGCCTTTTGGAAAATAAACATAGGAAATAATCTAACCAAACCTGCAACACTAAAACTTTTTAGTAATCAATAGAAAGTTTGTGTTACTTTATAAGGCCCGTGTTATGCTTGTGTGTAGAAATATATCTTATTGTTTCCATTTTTCTCTAGTTGATACACCAAAATCGGCAAGCTATCTTAAACCAGTTTGCAGCAACTGCTCCTGTTGGCATCAATATGAGATCAGGCATGCAACAGCAAATTACACCTCAGGTAATGTGAGAAAACCAGACGTCATTAGTACTTCTTTAACCCACATAGTGTTTCTTAAAGTGTTGACTTGAGTGTCTTTGAAATGGTCTGTGAGCTGATCTTTTAATGATGTTTGTAGTGTAGTTTTCTTTGAGAATGAATTAATAATCTACTTTTGATACCTCTTACTGATATTTGATCTAAAGCAAATGGTGCTTTGTTTTGTTTTATTGTTATTATTGTCATTGTTATTGGATACCAGATGACTAAGTAGAAAAAACTCTTATTTCTGTAGCGAATAGCACCAGTAACAGGAAGCCTCTGATACGAAACTGTGTGAACGGTACCCGAAACCTGATCAAAACCCAGTCACATTGCTAAGCTGTCTTAACTATCTTGTGTACTATGTTCAATTTGAACATCAGCATTTTCTAGCTTGTATTTATTTTTTAAATCCCTTTTTTTTTTTAATAAACCCAGAGCCATTAGAACTTTAAACATAAAAAGAACTAGGTGGACTTCTAAATGTTACCTAGTACTCACTCTCTACTTTACCCCATACATACCTAAAAATTTTTTGTTTCAACTACTTACTTTTATTTCATAACAAAGTTGATGTAAAAATCTTGGAGATAAGGAATTTTAGAGAGGATTTAAACAATACTCTTTTCCTCTCCACAATATGGAACTAGATGGATTAGGAGCAAATAAAGCCAGCACCTGTATTATTAAAGAGATAAATACAGCCATGCATGACTTAAAGACAGGGATATGTTCTGAAAAATGTGTTATTAGGCAACTTCATAATTGTGCAAAGGTCATAGAGTGTATTTACACAAACCTACATGGTATAGCCTACTTAGCATCCTGGCTATGTGTATAGCCTATTGCTCCTAGGCTATAAACCTGTACTGCATGTTACTCTACTGAATACTGTAGACAATTGTTATGGTATTTGTATATCAAAACATACCTAAACGTGGAAGAGGTACAGTAAAATACTGTAGTATTATAATCTTATGGGACCACCGAATTTGGTCCATTGTGTGCAACTGAAATGTCTTATTACTAAAATGTCTTATTGCTGAAATGTCTTTATGCATCACATGACTGTATTGACTGAAGTTGTTGGTAAGCAGCAGATATTGACATCTTCATGGATCCAGATTTCAGTTTCTCTGTCTTACAAATTATAAATCTTAGTGCTAGCTAATTCAGGAGTAATTAGGTTGTAAGGAAACAAGACCCCACTTTTGGATTCACATAAAGATAATTCCTATCAGAAAGTCTTATTTCATAGTTTCTTCTAGATTAGACTATATGTAGTTGGCAAGAGCTGTATGCTTTAACCAGATTCTCAATCTGAATTGACATTTTCTGAAGAAGGCTTTATTGATATGCCATGTTACATTGAAAAAATGATTTTAAGCTAATTTGACCACTTCTTTCCTCATCCATAATATTATAACTGAAACCACTTACACTAATGCCTGGAATAATCTGAAACTCCAATAATAATACAAAATAGCTGTTTCCATTTATTTCTTTTTACTATTTTATTTCTACTTATTTTCTTTTTAAGTGATAATTTCTTAGGCATTGGATCCTAGATTTCAGAATCTTCCTTTTTTAATGGTATTTGTAGGTTTTTTCTAATTGTAAAGGTAGTACATGTTCATCGTAATAATTTGGTAAATATAGAAAAGTATAATGAAAATTAAAATCACCTATAATCACATGTTATTCATTTAAATAAACTGGGATAATGTTCTCAGTGAGAAAAGTGGAAAAACTAAGTTTCTCTTTACCAGAAACACAGTAAATTTTTTGGAATTGAAAAAGTCTTCTAATGATCTAATGAAGGATAGGACAGAAGTCATCAAGCACATTTTCTTTCACTTCCTTATGGTCTTCATGTTTCTCTTAACAATGTTCATGGCCAATATTATAATACTAATCAATACATACTTTCTTTGAATTTTTCAGTTCTGTGTGACTTTTCATTGAGAATTTGCGTTCTCATTTATAATGGTCAGATATTGTTTAGCATTTCTTGACTACTTTTAATCTGTAAAATATACTTAATTCATTTTTTCTCCTGTGATTGTTACTTAAGAGGTTTTTGTTCCTTTTCTGTTTTAGTTTCCCTTGTACAGTGATAATTGCTATGTACTTTATTGCCCCAAGCAAGTAGGCCTTAATCCAATGAACTTTCCAGGATAGATAGTGATTATAATAATTTTAGTAAGTGAGTTTTTTCCTGCTTTTCAGCCACCCCTGAATGCTCAAATGTTGGCACAACGTCAGCGGGAACTGTACAGTCAACAGCACCGACAGAGGCAGCTAATACAGCAGCAAAGAGCCATGCTTATGAGGCAGCAAAGCTTTGGGAACAACCTCCCTCCCTCATCTGGACTACCAGTTCAAATGGGGAACCCCCGTCTTCCTCAGGGTGCTCCACAGCAATTCCCCTATCCACCAAACTATGGTACAAATCCAGGAACCCCACCTGCTTCTACCAGCCCGTTTTCACAACTAGCAGCAAATCCTGAAGCATCCTTGGCCAACCGCAACAGCATGGTGAGCAGAGGCATGACAGGAAACATAGGAGGACAGTTTGGCACTGGAATCAATCCTCAGATGCAGCAGAATGTCTTCCAGTATCCAGGAGCAGGTAGGAAGGTCACAACTTTATGTTGTTCTAAGTAATCCATACAGGCTTAGGTCTCTCTCCATCTTTATGTCTGTGCTTGGACATTAAAATAGTGTGTGGAAGAGGAAAGACACTGACGTGGGAGTCTGGAGACCCAGGATTCAGACTCAGCTTTTGACACTAAATGGTTGACTGGTTTGAGGCTTATCTCCCTTTTTTAGCTGAGATGATTGAATTAGAGGATCTGTAAGGACCTTTTGAGCATTTTGTATGCAAAGTACGTTCCCCCTTTTTTTTTTCTTTTTTGTTAGATGCAGTCTCGCTCTGTTGTCCAGGCTGGGAGTGCAATGGTGCAATCTCAGCTCACTGCATCCTCCACCTCCTGGGCTTAAGCGATTCTCCTGCCTCAGCCTCCCGAGTAGCTAGGATTACAGGCATGTGCCACCGTGCCCAGCTAATTTTTGTTTTTTTTTTTTTGTAGAGACAGGGTTTCACCATGTTGCTCACACTGGTCTTGAACTCCTGACCTCAGGTGAGCCACCATACCCGGCCCATTCTCTTATTTTTTAATTTTTCTCATTGATCTCTATGAGAATTCAATGAAAGTCTTCCCCACACAATGGATTTTAGTACATTAATTCAAAATTCGCATGTAGTTTTTTCATTGTGTGGGAGATTTTGTTTTTGCCAGTTTGCATAAGAATAATTTATCTCCACAGAGTATCTCAGACTACTCATTGGTGTCATCACTCTCAGCTGCTGCTGTTGCAGCTTCCTCTCCAATGTCAGTCAACTTTCTGGCTTCCAAAAGCTTTTTTCTTTTTTAGTCTTTCTTTGGCACTGTCTTCCATTCTCTTTGTCCTGGGTGATAATATCTTTTCTTATTTCTTTTCTGTCACTTTCAGGTTCTGATAGGTAGTGGCAGTGATGAACATCTGATTAGTCTACTCTGTTTAATCAAACTTTTATGCAAAATTAATTGTCAATTCCTGAAAAATAATTGAAATAAATCCCTTGATTATATAAATGAAAGAAAAGAGGTAAATTTTAAGGCTGCTTAAAAATGAATTTCAATGAGAAAGCTGCTGTTTGACTTGAATAAAATGTCAAAGTTATACAGAGATTTTTGACATGGCAGTATGCTTATCAGTTTTGACAGCCAAATCAATTTAGAGTTTCCATTCTGATGGTAGCAAATACTAAAATCCTTTGACTATCAAATTAAGTATCTAAAGACTTGTGCCAGAGAGCACCAGAACTCTAAAGAGATTTTAATCAAAATTATGCCACATCAGTTTCTTTGTCCTCAAGACAATGAAGTCATCTTTGGCTGGTTTATATCAGTGACACTATCTGTGTGGGCGAGAAAAGGATTATAAATCCATATTTTAATTATATGGTTGCCTGAACAAGAGTATGGCCTTCAAAAGAGTTTTATTTCCATGTGTCTTACAATTTCTGTATGCAGAGAATTTGACAAAGCTTTTTCACTTTAGCCTGTGGAAGTACTTCCTCCAACATTAGAAGACTTGTGTAGTCATCTGCATCCCCATTCCTCCTCCAAAATGACAACCTGACTAAAACAGCAAATGGGTTTTTAGCAGCATTCATAATATTAATTGCAGAGCCCTAAATCAAAAGATTTATCTCATGCATTAGGGGAAAAAGCTAACTAGAAGTAAGCCAAACATTAATAAATTCCTCATGAAATTATTCTAAGGATTTTTTCTATTAAAAAATAGAAATAGTATTTCTGTCCATTTTCAGGCATGTACTTTTAAGTTTCCTCTGGAAAGTCAAGAAAGGAGAACTTTATATTCTGCTTTCATTCCTTGACAAAGCCACCTGGAAAGGCGGTCCTTCAGTGCCCCGGTTCTCATGAAATTGACAAGTTTCTTTCACAGTTCTGGGTCTAGCCTTTTGATCTGAGTTGTGTCAGCATAGAACAAAGTGAGCTGAAATAATGGAGTGGGTGGAGCTTCCTCTTTCCCCGTACCATAATGGGAAAGATGTGTTGCCACCTATCATGAGTATCTGGTGCCTGGGTTTTTCTTCCAGACCAACTTCTGATTGACAAAAATATTTTCACAAAATAAGAATTTGCTTTTTATAAAGTCAGCATTCATACTACAAACAAAACCCAAATGCTGAGTGCATTGAAGAGAACAGTGGTTTCATCCAGTTGCAAACTGAAATGAAATGGCAGGGCTGTCAGTTCTTCCATGGACTGCTTCAAAATAATACTGGAAAAATGTTTAACTTTTCTGGACAGAGTAAGAATGTTTAAAGATGCAATGTTTTTAATTTCTGTCACCACTCTTAATTATAAACTTGCTCCAAATTGATCAGCAGTCTGGTAGAGGACCAGGTTTTGTGTTGGCACAAAATGAAGTTCTGGAAAAGTTCCAGCCTTTTCAAAACAAAAACAGTTTATTGTGGCTTAAGGAAATCCAGATAAAAAGGCTCTTTGGCCTTTGTTGGTTTTATGCTTCTATTCCTAAGAAATCGGCCATACAAAAGTACCAAAATATATGTGTTCCAACATGTTTCCAGGTTTGACAAATTAAGGTCCATAATCCAGCCCAGTTGTTTTGGTAAATAAAGTTTTAATGGAACACAGCCATACTTACTGCTTTATGTATTATCTATGGCTGGTTTCATATAGAAGAGTTGAGTAGTTAAAGAAACTTTATGGCCTACAAAACTGAAAACATGTATTATCTGGCCCTTTGCAGAAGAAGCTTGCTGATTTCTGTGTTAAGTGATGACAGTAAAACCAACGGATAACTGCATTAGCTTTGCTTTATATCCTTTGCCTTAGCCTCTTTCCACTTAATGTAGGCCCAAAGTAAATGAAGGAACATGAAAGTCATAGTAATGGCAGAGTAAGTTTTCTGGTATTTCTGAAAACAAGAAACTTTTCTAGACTACCATGCTATGATAATGAGTGTAAAAGAACAGAATCAGACTTTAGAAATTGTTTTCTTTTTTCTTTTTTTTTTTTTTTTTTCTTTGAGACAGAGTCTCGCTCTGTCGCCCAGGCTGGAGTGCAGTGGCGTGATCTCGGCTCACTGCAACCTCCACCTCCCGGGTTCACGCCATTCTCCTGCCTCAGCCTCCCGAGTAGCTGGGACTACAGGCGCCCACTACCACGCCCGGCTAATTTTTTTGTATTTTTAGTAGAGATGGAGTTTCACCATGTTAGCCAGGATGGTCTCAATCTCCTGACCTCGTGATCCACCCACCTCGGCCTCCCAAAGTGCTGGGATTACAGGCGTGAGCCACCGTGCCTGGCCAGAAATTGTTTTCTATTAAGGCAGTATTCAAAGTAAATATGAGAAATTGGTTTCTTTAGTGTATCTGCCCACTTCATGGGTTCCTTCAAGCCCATTTAGAGACTTCTTTTCTGTGAACTACAATAAAATCCTCTTCCACCTATTCCTCCTCAGTGATCTCTTCTCCTTTTGGGGTTTCAGGGACCTTTACATGCTAGTGACTTTATTCTCTATCTCTAAACAGTATCTCTCAGCTCATATGTACAGCTGCCTACTGGAAACATATACTTGCATTTTCCACCAACACCCCAAACTTAACTTGTACAAACCTAGACTCATCAACTCCATGTTCCCTTTTATAGTTCTGTGTTCCAGCTACAGTAAACTCTGAGTTCCGAGAAACAGCACAGACCTTGTTCTCTTTTACTTCCAGGGGCTTTGAACATTGTCTATACTCTATCTAAAGTATTCTTCCTTTACTTCTCATTCCTATTCTTCCCTCCTCTCAGATATATCTCCTCTGCAGAGTCTTCCTGGACACTCCCAATCATAAAGTAGTCAACACCCTGTCTTAAAACCACTTGTTAACCTAGCTGCCTTTCTTTTTAAATAGCAAGTTCCTTACGTGAGCAGAGTGTGACCTTTTTAACCATTGTTTCTCCAGTGCTTAGCACAGTGGTCTCACAGTGAATAGATGCTTAATGAATCTTTGAAGAAATAAATGAATGAAAGTATGAATTCTAATTCTAGTTGCCACTGTCACATGTCTGCAATGCTAGTTATGGTTGGTCTAGCAGGGAAACTTAACATAGTCTAGCCCAGCTGGGCACGGTGGCTCACGCCTGTAATGCCAGCACTTTGGGAGGCCTAGGCAGGTGGATTACCTGAGGTCAGGAGTTTGAGACCAGCCTGGCCGACATGGCGAAACTCCATCTCTACTAAAAATACAAAAATCAGCTGGGTGTGGTGGTGGGCGCCTGTAGTCCAGCTACTCGGGAGGCTGAGGCAGGAGAATTGCTTGAACCCAGGAGGCGGAGGTTGCAGCGAGCCAAGATCACGCTACTGCACTCTAGTCTGGGCAATAGAGCAAGCCTCTGTCTAAAAAAACAAAAACAAACATAGTCTAGGCAAAGATAGAACTGTAAAATTTTTCATCTAGAAGAACTAGATTATCTGATTGATGCAAGTTATCCAAGGTCCAGTGTGTAGCAGAACTGGGACCAGAACTCTAAGTATTCCTCTAATTCATTACCCACAGGCTAGTTCTTTCTGCTAAAACTGGGTCATTTCACAGACGATTTTTAGAGAAATGAAACCACTCTCTATGATACTATAATGGTGGGTACATATCATTATACATTTGTCCAAATCCATAGATTGTACAATACCAAGAGTGAACCGTAATGTAACCTATAGACTCTGGGGTAGTTGATAATGAGGACAGTTATACATGTGAGTGAATGGAGGAGGGGTATGTAGCTTCATTTACATAATTTTACCAAAAATAAACCCTATCTAGTGAAAGAAAAAACTGTAAAGTCTAAAGTTAGGAAATCTCAGTACCATCCACTTAGTTTTGCTTTGAACCTAAAGCTTCTCTAAAAAATTGTCTTTTTTAAAATAATAAATTTAAAAGACCAACACTAAAAACAACAGCAACAACAACAACAACAACAAAACAAACCACAAAAAAGTCATCTTCTAAGGGAAACTGTTCATTCCAATATGAACAGTTAGAATGTGAGATGAAGCCAGAAAGAAATATCAGAAAGCTTGCTCTTGTACTTGGAGTCTCTTATTTATTGTTTACTGTTGACCCCACAAAGTAATATCCAGAATATGATAAGCATCTTTTCCCGCTCACATATTTTTATTTTTATTTTTCTCTTTTTTTTTTTTTTTTTTTTTAATCTTTTGAGATAGGGTCTTGCTCTGTTGCCCAGGAGTGGCGTGATCATGGCTCACTGCAGTGTCCAACTCCTGGTCTCAAGTGATCCTCCCACCTCAGCCTCCTGAGTAGCTAGAACTACAGGCATGTACCACTGTGCCCGGCTAACTATTCTATTTTTTATAGAAACGGGTCTCACTACATTGTCCAGGCTGGTCTCAAACTCCTGGCCTTAAGCCATCCTCCCACCTTAGCCTCCCAAAGCACTGGGGTTACAGGCATGAGCCACCACACCAAGGCTATATTTCTTCTAAAAGAAATTAATTTCATCATAAATGAGGTTAAAAACACATTAATACAAGAGTTTTTCTTTTAAGGATCACAACCAAAATAGTTTAAAATGGAGAGTTAATGCAAAGACATTAGAAGTGAAGATGGTGGCAAAACAAAAACAAAAAACCCACCCTCTAGAGTCATAAATGAAAAAAAAAATGGATGCTGGGCACAGTGGTTCATGCCTGTAATCCCAGCACTTTGGGAGGCCAAGGCAAGTGGATCACCTGAGGTCGGAAGTTCGAGACCAGCCTGACCAACATGGAGAAACCCTGTCTCTACTAAAAATACAAAAGTAGCTGGGCGTGGTGGCGCATGCCTGTAATCCCAGCTACTCAGGAGGCTGAGGCAAGAGAATTGCTTGAACCCAGGAGGCGGAGGTTGTGGTGAGCTGAGATCACACCATTGCACTCCAGCCTGGGCAACAAGAACAAAACTCCGCCTCAAAAAAAAGAAAAAAGAAAAAAAAATGGAGACCCATATATTCTAAATCAAAATTACTTACCTTACATATAGAGGAAGCGACAAGGAGAAAATATGTAGCTTCATTTATATAATCTTTACCAAAAATAAATAAACCCTATCTAGTGAAAGAAAAAACTGTGAAGTCTAAAGTTAGGTCAACTTCCACAGAAAATTTAAAACGGTTTTAAAATTCTAGCCTATAAGGCCGGGCGTGGTGGCTCACGCCTGTAATCCCAGCACTTTGGGAGGCCGAGGCAGGCGGATCACAAGGTCAGGAGATCAAGACCAGCCTCACCAATATGATGAAATCCCATTTCTACTAAAAATACAAAAATTAGTTGGGTGTGGTGGTATGAGCCTATAATGCCAGCTACTCGGGAGGCTGAGACAGGAGAATTGCTTGAACCCAGATGCTTGAAGCAGAGGTTGCAGTGAGCAGAGATCACGCCATTGTACTCCAGCCTGGGCAACAAGAGTGAAACTCGGTCTCAAAAAAAAAAAAAAAAAAATGTAACCTATAATAAAAAAAACGAGTAAATTAACTACATCTCTGGCAAATATAATGATTTTCTCTTTTTATTTAACCAAATAAACCAAGTAAAAAGAGAAAAAAATCATTATATTAAAAATAACCAAAAAAATTACATTAATAGTGACAGAACACAGTAGATATTACACAGGCATATATGCATGTGTTCACAAAGTGACATCAAGGACATAGAAACATGTTTGTGATGTAATGTTGAGGGAAACAAGCAGGTCACAGAATGTTACAGGATTTTATAAAGATGTAAAGGAATTTTACTAAATTATGGGCAATCATACTATGGCATCCTTTTTTCTGCACCTTTATAACTTTCTCTTCCTTAAAAGTATTTAACTGTGAGATGTATTTTGTCAGGAAAAAAAGAAAGAAAGAACACAGTGCTAGCATTAAACATTAAACATTTTTTAAAAAACATTTTTACACTTTTAAATTCTAATGGATATCTACTTTGGGCCAGTAGAGTAAGAGGGACCAGAGTTACTTTCCCATCTGAAACAAATAAACAAAAAACAGACAAAGTACATTCAACAGTAGTTCTTGAGATTGTCCAGACTGTGCTGCGGGGAGGGAGAATCCAACAGGAGCCAGGCCATTTCCCTGAGCTGAGGAGGTGGAGCTGGCAGTCTGGGAAAGCCAAGACACCTAGAGGTAGCAGGGCACAATACCAGAGAGGATAGCACTACACAGAGAATTGTAGGATATGCAGAGGGTCCCATTCAAGTCTTCAGCTGAGAGCTGATGCGCGCACGCGGGCATGCGTGTTTGTGTGTACAAATCAAGGCCAGAGAAAACCACCTGAAAAGATAAGAGGGAACCATCTTCAAAGTTCATACAGGGCCAGTTCCTCTTCCTACCAGCCAGAGTAGAAAACCTCATAATTCAGGGGGTATCAAGTAGAACACTCAGAGATGGTTTGCCTCGGTAGTGGGGCAAAATAAGCCCTAAACTCTGCTCTTGTCTCATTAGGCACAAGACCTAAAAGAATTAACCTGTTTCCATGTAGCCTAACCACAGCCCAGACAAAGGTCAAAAATATTTAAAAGAAGAGAAAAAAAATCCAACACCTAATAAGGTAAAATTCACAAGGTCTGGAATCTGATTTTTAAAACTACCAGGTATGCAAAGAAGTAGGAAAATACTACCTGTAATGAGGAGAAAAATCAGCCAATCAAAAATTCAGAAATTACACAGGTGATAGAATTAGTAGACAGAGACATTAAAGCAATTATAAATTATAAATTCTGTTTGTTCAAGAAGCAAGAGGAAGCTTGAATATGTTAAGTAGAGCCTAGAGCCATGGAAGATATAAATAAAACCCAAGTCAAACTTCTGGAGATGAAAACTACAGTGTCTGAGATTTAAAAAACAAAACAAAACAAAAAAAACCCTAGATGAGATAAACAGCAGATTAGAAATTACAGAAGAAAAAAATAGTGAACTTAAAGATATAACAATGGAAACTATCCAAAATGAAATCAGAGAAAAAAGACTGAAAAAAACCTGGTAATTTACTCAAAATTGATCTTATAATTCAATGCAGAATTTCAGCATGCTTTTTGGAGAAATTAACAAACTTATCCTAAAATGTATATGAAAATGCAAAGGACCTAGAGTAGCCAAAATAATTTTTAAAAGGAAGAACAAAGTTGGATATCTACCTAATTTCAAAAATTACCATAAAGTCGCAACAATCAAGACAATGTGGTGCTGGTACAACATAGAGATCACTGGAACAGAATAAAAAGTTCAGAAGTAAACCCTTACTTTTATGGTCAGTTGAGTTTTGACAGGTCAGATGGCTGCTAATAAGCATCATCCTAAATAAAAAGGAATAGCCTACTGATAAGTGCTCCAAAGTGGCTGAACCTCAAAAACATTATGCTAAGTGAATGCAAGCCAGACACAGAAGACCATGTATGGCTACATTTACATGAAATTTCCCCCCAAAAAGCAAATCTTTTAGAGACAGAAAGTAGATCAGAGGTTACCTGGGACTAGGGATGGGAGCAAGGATTGACTACAAACAGGTACAAGGAAGGGAATTTGGGGAATGATTAGGTGTCTAAACTGGATCGTGGTAATGGCGGCACAACTCTATAAGGGAATTTGGGGAATGATTAGATGTCCAAACTGGATTGTGGTAATGGCGGCACAACTCTATAAATTTACTAAAAATCATTGCATTATGCAGTTACAGTGTGTCAATTTCATGTTGTATAGATTAAGTCTGAATAAAGCTTAAAAGGGGGAAGGAGGGGGGGAAGAGTGGCTAACAAAACTTTCTCATTATTTTTTATTTTCATACATGGCTTTTTCTTTTTCTTTTTTTTTTTTGACAGAGCCTTGCTCTGTCACCCAGGGTGGTGTGCAGTGGTGCGATCTCGTCTCACTGCAACCTCTGCCTCCCAGGTTCAAGCCATTTTCGTGCCTCAGCCTTCCAAGTAGCTGAGATAACAGGCGTTTTTGTATTTTTAGTAGAGATGGGGTTTCTCATGTTGGCCAGGCTAGTCTCGAACTCCTGACCTCAGGTGATCCACCCACCTCGGCCTCCCAAAGTGCTGGGATTACAGGCGTGAGCCACAGCACCCGGCCACACGTGGCTTTTTCTTAACTATTATTTAATTTACAGCCGGGCGCGGTGGCTCACACCTGTAATCCCAGCATTTTGGGAGGCCAAGGCGGGTGGATCACCTGAGGTCAGGAGTTCGAGACCACCCTGGCCAACATGGTGAAACCCCGTCTCCTCTAAAAATACAAAAATTAGCCAGGCCCAGTGGCAGGCGCCTGTAATCCCAGCTACCTGAGAGGCTGAGGCAGGAGAATTGCTTGAACCCAGAAGGTGGAGGTTGCAGTGAGCCAAGATCGCACCACTGCACTCCAGCCTGGGTGACAGAGCAAGACTCCATCTCGGGGGAAAAAAAAAAAAAGTTTAATTTACTACACAAGTAATTCATCATGTATGTTCATACATATTTTTACACTTAAAAATTCACATAAGCAAAAAAGAACAGAAATAGATCATATACAATCCTGCTGCACAAATAACGTCTTAGTGAATGGAAAGCATTATTCCGAGCTTACATTTATTTCATTGGTTTATGCTGAGATTTCTTGCCCTAGTTTAAGATACTAAATTTTTTCCATGCTCTGTTGAATGCGATATTTGTAAATATATTGCCTGACACAAGACAAGGCAAATAAGAAAGTTATTTGTAAATATATTGTGACAGATCCTTTTGGGTTTTTTCATTTATGGGGTTAATAAATTTATAGTGTATCAACATAAATTAATTTGTGTCAATTTACAGGAATGGTTCCCCAAGGTGAGGCCAACTTTGCTCCATCTCTAAGCCCTGGGAGCTCCATGGTGCCGATGCCAATCCCTCCTCCTCAGAGTTCTCTTCTCCAGCAAACTCCACCTGCCTCCGGGTATCAGTCACCAGACATGAAGGCCTGGCAGCAAGGAGCGATAGGAAACAACAAGTAAGGGGGCAGTTTTTATATATGAGCATCCTTGATACTGTGATAAATCCTTGATACTGATAAATGCTACAGTGGTTGAACCTCAGGAACATTATGTAAAGTGAAAGAAGGCCGGACACAAAAGGCCACATATGGCTACATTTATATGACGTTTCCCCGTTCCCCCGTTTATGTGTGGAGACAGAAAGCAGCACATAAGAACAGCCATGCTTTCATGGGCTGATTGTATTCACAGGCTAAGTAGAAGATTATTGGCTACTTCCATTTGCATAATGGAAAGAACTAAATTTTATATTATCAGCAAAGAAAAATGATTTTTAAATCTTATAAGTATCAAGTCACTTCTAAGGCAAATTTGTGTGCTGACAGTACAGAAAAGTGATCTAGGTCCCCAACCTTTCCATCCTAACCTGAGCACACCTGCAGAATATGATGAGCTCACATCAGTAACAGAGCTTCCCTGGGACAGACATAGAAATGGGTACTTTTTTAAAAGTTTTTCTTTATAAGAACACTTTAAAATCTTATAAATCTAAAACCAAGAATGGCAAATGTCAGAATTCAATAGAGCTGAGTAGTGGGCACACAAGTTTCACTTTTCTCGATGTATTTAAAGACTTTATAACAATAACAAAAGTTTTTAAGGCTTACCCCTTTTAGAATCTCTAGATTTTTAGTGACCTTGACTCACCCATCTTGCTTAGAATTATCTCACTAAAGCCTTTTTTTTTTTTTCTCCAAATCCTGGCTGCTGAACTTTTCACACATCACTTTGAGTTTTATAAGGATTTTAATTTGGTTGTGTCTTAGTTATAATGACAGGGAAGCTGTCTGATCTGACAACATAATAAGTAAGGCAGTTAAAGTTGAAAACACAAGACTATATTCTTCTAAAGTTCATTGAAAGGTGAGAGAAAATCTTCATGTTAGAGAACTGTGTAGGTCTCAGTGAGGACCATGTATAAATTAGGTAGAAATGGAACCATATCTGTAATACAAGAGGAATTTAGTCTCCTAATGTATTCTAATCCCAACTTCCTAAACTCACTCTGGATTTTGTGGCCCATCATTATAATCACTACCTTACAGGTACTCTGACTCCCTTGCCTATCTCTCCCTCTGTTGCACTTATGCCTGGCAAAATTCTCCCTAATGAAATCCAACTAAACTCTTACTTTATACCTCCACCTAAGTATTGAAATATGGCTTGGGGAAAAAAAAAAACAGTCATGCTGACATGTCTCAATAACCTATTTCTCTGCTCCCCTTTACAGTTAAATTCCTTAAAAGATTATACTCTATCCACTTCCCCTACTCCTACTCCTTGTTGAACTAATCAGGCTTTCATTCCCATCATTCCACAGAAAGTGTCCCTGTCAAGATAGTTAAATGTCCTTTTCAGTGCCAAAAGCAATGCTCATCAGTAGCATTTGACATATTTGAGCATTTATTCTTTCTTGAAGCTCTTCATTTGGTTTCTAGAACAACTCTCTGTCTTGAGAAAAGTGACTCTCCTCCTATCACTTAGTCTCCTTGAGGATCTTTCTCATCTCCATGACCTCCATTTGAGGGCCCCAGAGGTGATTCTAGGACCTCTTCGCCATACCCACTCCCTCCTTTGGTTGCATCACCCATCTTACTATTGTCAATGCCTACTGCTATGCTTGACTCCCAAATTTAAACCTCCAGTGCAGATGGCTTTCCTGAACACCATACTCTATATTCAGCTGCCTAACCAATATCTCCACTTATAAGTCTAATAGGCATCTCAAACTTAACATGATGAAAACTAAAGTGATATTTTCACCAGACCTGCTCCTCTGGGTTACTTTTTCCCATTTCAGTAAATGACAATTCCATTTTCCACTTGTCCAGAAGAAAAGTCTTTCTCTTTCTCACATCCCACATCCAACACATCAGCAAATCATGTCAGCTTCTTAGCACCTCTCTCTTCTTACCTATTCCACATGTGCACCTTAATGCAAGCCACAATCATCTTTTCCCTGGGCCATTCCAGTAGCTTCCTCTCCTGCTTCCACCCTTGCTGCACCATCATTTAATCTCCACATGGGTAGCCAGAGCCATGCTTTTAACACATGAGGCAGAGTATGTCCGTCCTTTACGCACAACTCATCCAGTAGCTCCCCATCTTACTCAAAATACAGAATAGGGCCCGTAAAACCCCACATCATCTTGTTCCTGGATACCTCTCTGATCCCATCTGTTATTCTCACCGCTCACTCTGCCACAATGGCTTCCTTTTATCCTTCTGCTCCTCAGATGTGCGAAGTACACTGCAAACTCAGGATGTTTGCATTTTTTAATCTCTCTGCTGGAATGTTCTTCCCTCAGTGGCCACATGGCTTGTCTCTCACAGTTCAAGTCTTTCCTTAAATGTCACTTTATTAGACACAGACATTAAATGTGACCTTATTACACTTCCCTGACCACCATTTCTGAAATAATAGCATTTTCTACCCCTGGCGCCTCCTTTCCATTCTTTACTTTTTTCATAGTGATTAACACTTGACATACTGTGTGATAGTCTATTTATTTGTGATTTTTCTTCTCCATCTAGAATATGAGCATCATAAGAGCAAGGACTTTATTTTGTATTACTTCTGTTTCTCCATACTCTGGAACAGGGAGGCCCTTCATATACATCTATCAAACAAATGAGTACAAATACTCCCTAAGTCAACATCTTGGATTCAGATTCAAATATGGGTATAGGTTTTCGTTGTATTTTAGTAGTTTTTGCAAACTTTGACTTTCCAAATCATTTGGGAAAGAAAACAGTTACCACCAACTCTTTAAACACTCACACTTGCTCATTTGGTTCATGTGCAAAAGCTTATTAGTCATCATAAGCCTTGTGTATTAGCGTATATCACCTGGAGACAGTGACCACTCACTGTCTCTGTCACACAACACAAGATACCATGAGGAACACTGAAAAACAACCCCTGCTGCCAAATAACGAAGAGTCTAGTTGGTGAGGGGGCAGGTCAGAGAGAATTAAAACATGAAACAGTCAGAGAACCATTAAGTAGAATGATGTAATAGAGTTCAGAGGTAGTGTAACATGATTCTTTTTCATTATCTCTCTGGTGGCAAGAGAAAGAAATGGTTAAACAAACCTGTGGGTCCTGGAACTGGGTAGTGCTTCTGTGTAAGGCTGGTTGATGGGAGAATCCCATTGCTTATTAGCATTTTAAAGGATAAGAAGTCCTGTTGTTTAACCTTTTGTTTCTCAGACTTATTTGACCAGGGACTCCCCTGCTTGTTAATACCTGTAATATCTGTGGAACCCACTCTGGGCCAGAGTATTCATCCTTCTCTTTTTCCCATCATTTAGTGACTACCAAATACCTAGTGCTACCCTGAGAAAACTGTGATAGCTGCTACAAAGCAGGCAGGAAAGCAGAGTGAGGAAGAGGGCCTGTGAATGTTGGACTTTAGGTGTCAGTGGACCCAGACGTCTTTCTAGGACCTAGGACAGTGATTGCAGCTGCAGAAGAGCTTGGTCTCCTTCCCTTAATGGGAGATGCTAAAATGGAACTATTGGCAGGAGCAGTTTGAAAGAACTTAAACTAATATACAGTCCCAAATATTAATTTGAAAGGAAATTAAGCTCTAAATTTTTTTCAATAAGTATGACATCATTGCAGTCCTTGAAGTTTCCACATGCATTAACTTACATAGCCTTGCTCCTCCGCAGTGGTGACTTATGTATCAATTGACAAATGAGTACTGTCTTAGGCAGAAATGTTCTCATTAGAAAATAGGCATAGAGGCTGGGTGCAATGGCTGATGCCTGTAATCCCAGCACTTTGGGAGGCCGAGGCAGGTTGATCATCTGAGGTCAGGAGGTTGAGACCAGCCTGACCAACATGGCAAAACCCCATCTCTACTAAAAAAAAAAAAAAAAAAAAAAAGAATACAAAATTAGCTGGGCGTGATGGCACACGCCTGTAATCCTAGCTACTCGGGAGGCTGAGGCAGGAGAATCACTTGAACCCAGGAGGCAGAGGTTACGGTGAGCTGAGTTTGCGCCATTGCACTCCAGCCTGGGCAACAAGAGTAAAACTCCCATCTCCAAAAACAAAAGAAAATAGACATAGATTAGTAGGCTTTTTTCTCACCTTTAGTTGTAGGATCACTGCCCCATAAGCATACACACTGTGCAGACATTAATGGTCCACAGGTGTATTACTGACTATTTCCTAGGCATATAATTTTCTGTGGGCATTTTTGTTTTATAATTACTTGGGGGAAAATTCTGTACTTTTCTTCAGACATGATAAATAGGCTGTTTATTGGCCTGTCAATTCAGTATGATTACCTTAGTCTACTGGAAACTGTAAATGTCAGTATATCCTTCTTAACACTAAGAGCTAGCGAGGAATAGATAAACTATTGATGGGGAAAATTATTTCTAAAATCAAATTCTATAGAATTAATATTAAAATAGGTGGAATTTTACCAGCAGTTTATTGTTAACAATTAATATATAGTCATAAAATATTTGATGTTTATAGAACTTAGGAAAGACAGAATTAATATCATTATCCTTTAGATGTGCATATCTGTATCAATGAAAATTTTCAGGGTTCAAATACAAAGTGTCAAGTTGAATTCCCATGGAGTTTATTGCTTACTATTCTACTTCCTAATAGAGACTGATTTTACATTTGAGATCTTTGGTGTAACAACAGTCCAGAACTTGGCCATGAAGAAGGAAGTCAGTAAAACAGGCTCTCTGAAAAACATAACTGCTTATGTATTTTGCTTCCTAGAAAAGACATGAAGCTATGTTGAGGCCTGATAAGACCTTGGAAGTCTTTAAAAGGATTAAATTTGCCACCTAAAAACATTTGGTTGTATACATCTGGCTTCCTCTTAATTTGTAGCATATTGAAAGCGACCAGAAGATAAAACCTTGAGAAGTGACAACAAGCTATAGGATATTGAATAAAGGGTCTCAAATTTTAGTATGCATGAATAGTTAAAGATGGACCTTTCTATACCCACCCCTGGAAAATGTGATTCACCAGGGCTTGAGTAAAACCTGGGAGTCTCAATTGCCAGTGAGTCCCAGGGTATTCTCTTGTAGATGGTCTCTGCACTACACTTCAAAAAATGTATGCCACTTCACTGGCACAGATACAGTAAACCATTTAATAGAAAACAATCTGAACTGCACCATTTGACAGCACCGAATAATAATCCATGCCATAATTCATTTATTCATCAGGTATTTACTGAGTGCCTGCTATATGTCACATATTAATAGAGATGAGAAATAAGTGGAACAAGATACCATCACTCCCCTGAAGTATTAAGTCTAAGAGGCTCTACAAGCAAACACAATATAAGGATGCTGTCTTTGAATCATTCATTCGTGTGTTAATTCATTCAGTGAACATTTATTGAAGATATATATATATATGTATATATATGCCAGACACTTTGCTCAAATAGGACATTCTCTGTTTAGATAGGTAAATGTCAGTTACCTAGAAGATTTACTTACATGGAAAACTTCCTTTCTTAATTATTTAGATGATTGTAGCCTAGCATCTCTGATATTGTGCCAGATAATTGTTATTTAAAATGAGCTCTTTTCAGTTATTTAATCCCTTATGTAGACTTCAGAATGTATCTGAATTATATTAATTTTTATATATTTTAAGAAGTTACAGTCATACATGCAATTTAAGGATGTAACATATTTTATTTGGAAACAGAATCTAGTCATATATCCCCTTGTTCATGATCAGTGGATGTAATCTGGATTGTTTTTGAGTTTACAGTGTGTTCAGTCAAGCTGTCCAGAACCAGCCCACGCCTGCACAGCCAGGAGTATACAACAACATGAGCATCACCGTTTCCATGGCAGGTGGAAATACGAATGTTCAGAACATGAACCCAATGATGGCCCAGATGCAGATGAGCTCTTTGCAGATGCCAGGAATGAACACTGTGTGCCCTGAGCAGGTAAGTGGCACACTCGCCACACACATGCCACACCACATCACAGTTAATTCTGAGGAAAATCAGGTATGTTGACAGTTACTCATCAGAAATAGCCACACTTCTTTATTCTTTCCCACTAACTTTTAATAATTACTGGCTCTTAAGATATACAATGAAAAATTTTGACAGACTTTTTTTTTTTTTTTTTTTTTTGAGATGGAGTCTCACTTTGTCACCCAAGCTGGAGTACAGTGGTGCAATTACAGCTCACTGCAGCCTTGACTGCCCAGGCTCAAGGGATCCTCCCACCTCAGACTCCTAAGTAGCTGGGACTGCAAGCACATGTCACCCTGCCCAGCTAATTTTTTTACTATTTGCAGAAACAAGGTCTCACTATGTTGCCCAGGCTGGGCTTGAACTCCTGGGCTCAAGCAATCCTCCTATCCCAGCCTCCCAAAGTGCTGGGATTACAGGTGTGAGCCACTACTCCTGGCCTTGACAGACTTTATAAATAAGATTTCAGTTTCATGAGATTTTAGTGTTTTAGATTTATAAAACAGTACATGGCTGGGTGTGGTGGCTTATGCCTATAATCCGAGCACTTTGGGAGGCCAAGGCAGATGGATCACAAGGTCAGGAGTTCGAGACCAGCCTGGCCAACATGGTGAAACCCTGTCTCTACTAAAAAAAAAACAAACAAAAATTAGCTGTGCGTGGTGGCATGCACCTGTAATCCCAGCTCCTTGGGAGGCTGAGGCATGAGAATTGCTTGAACCCAGGAGTTGGAGGTTGCAGTGAGCTGGTAATTGCGCCACTGCACTCCAGCCTGGGCAACAGAGCAAGACTCCATCTCAAAAAAACAAACAAACAAAAAAACAGTACATGTAATATATTGTCTTGGAATATTCCATTATATTTTGAAACATTTTCTTCATCTCTACCTTTTAATTCAATAAGCATTTATTCAGTACTTACTGTGTACAAAGATAGCCTTGTGGGACATGCATATGTACAAGTTGGGAAAGACACAACATGAACAAAGGATCATTTTAATCATAGGACAAAACTGGTATGTAAGAGATAGGCCATATGTGTTTCTGTCAGATGAGGAGTGTATGCACAGTTGACTACTGAGGGCTTAAAAGAAAAAAGGCCTGGTCAAAAAAAGGCATTATGAAAAAGTTGCCTAAACAGAATAGAAAAAGAACATTCAAGATTGGTTATCACAGCATGACCTAGGCAGGATAGGAGTTGAAAGCCTAATTAATGTTAAGGGGATATTTATATTTTATTTAGAGAAGAAGTAATGTGGTAAGCTTTTTTGATATGTTGCATGCCATCTAAGTGTGTGGAATTTATCCTGGAGCCTCTTACATATTTTTAGAAGAGAATGAATAAATTCAAAACAATATTTAAGATTATTGCAATAACTCTCTATAGTTGCTATTCTCATTATTCGTATCAGCAACCACAAAGTATGCTATAGTAACTAGGCTATTACCATGCAGCCATCATTTATAGGCAATCATAAAAATATATAAACACCAATTACCTTTTTTATCTTCAAATGATACTATATCACCTCATGTATAGAGGTGTATATTATATCACCTCTATATCACATGAGGTGATATATGTATGTATAGAGGTATAATATAATGTATAGAGGTATATATAATGTATAGAACCTCATTACAATTTATTTCTATTTTGTCCCTCCTGTGCTACTGTTGTCATACATGTTATATTTATATATGTTCTGTTCCCTGCAATTTATTATTTTTTCTTTAGTCAATTATAAATTATAAATTTATAAATTCTACTTACAAATTTATAAATTAATTATAAACTATAATTGACTATTTAAAGAAAATTTAAATAAAAGCTTTTTTATATTTACCCACATAGTCACCACTTTAAATTTTCTGCATTCTTTTTGTAGTTCTAAATTTCCATTTGGTATTATTTTCCTTCTGCCTGAGGGTCTTGCTTTAACTTTTTTTTTTTCTTTTTTTTTTTTTTGAGATGGAGTCTCGCCCTTTAGCCCAGGCTGGAGTGTGGTGGCACAACCTCAGCTCACTGCAACCTCCACCTCCCAGGTTCAACCGATTCTCCTGCTTCAGACTCCCAAGTAGCTGGGACTACAGGCACCCGCCACCATGCCCGGCTAATTTTTTTTTTTTTTTTTTTTTTTTGTATTTTTGGTAGAGATGGGGTTTCACTGTGTTAGCCAGGATGGTCTCAATCTCCTGACATCATGTTCTGCCCGCCTCGGCCTCCCAAAGTGCTGGGATTACAGGCGTGAGCCACCGCGCCCGGCCTTGGCTTTAACATTTTTATAGTGCAGGCCTGCGGCTAATGAGCTTTTCTATGTCTGAAAAAGTCTTTCACCTTCATCTTTGAATGTTCTTTCCCCTAAACTCTAGCTTGGCAGTTTTAGCTTTCAGTACTTTAAAGATGTTGCTCCACTACAGTGTTGCTGATGAGACATCTGCTGTCATTTTATCTTTGTTCTTCCATGTATGATTGATGTTTTTCCCCTCTGGCTGATTTTGATTTTTCTCTCCACCACTGGTTCTAAGTAATTTGATTATGATATGCTTCAGTGTATTTTCTTCATATTTCTTATTCTTGGGGTTCATTGAGCTTCTTGATTCATTACCATATAATTTTCATTAAATTTTGGAAAAAATTTTTTGTTGTCGTTTTTTGTTTTTTTGTGGTTTTTTTGAGACAGAGTCTCACTCTGTCACCCAGGCTGGAGTGTAATGGCGCAGTCTCCACTCACTGTAACCTCCACCTCCTGGGTTCAAGCAATTCTCCTGCCTCAGCCTTCTGAGTAGCTGGGAGTACAGGGGTGCGCCACCACACCCAGCTAATTTTTATGTTTTTAGTAGAGACGGGATTTTGCCATGTTGGCCAGACTGGTCTCAAACCCCTGACCTCAGGTGATCTGCCCACCTCGGCCTCCCAAAGTGCTGGGATTATAGGCGTGAGCCACCACACCCGGCCAAATTTTGGAAAATATTGATCATTATTTCTTCAAATAATTTTTGTCACCATCCTTATTCCTCTCCTTCAGAGACTTCAGTTGCATGTATAGTGCACTTGAAATTGTCTCACATTCACCGATTCTCTAGGTTTGGGGGCTTTCGAGCACTGGGATGAGGTTCAGTTATTTTTTTCTTTGATTTTAGAACATTTATATTACTGTAGCCTCAGGTTCACTAATTCTTTATTTTGCAATATCTAATCTGTTTATACAGTGTATTTTTCATCTCAGACATAGCAGTTTTCATATCTAGCAGTCATATTTGGATCCTTTTTATATCTTCCATATCTCCAACATTTTTTTCATATCTGTTCAGCCTTTCCTCTTATTTCTTAAACAAATGGAATATGGTTATTATAATTGTCCTGATATTTCTCACCTATCAGTTCTATTATCAGCATCATTTTTGAATTGATTTCAGTTGACTTCCCTTTTCATTATGCATCATATTTTTCTGCCTCTTTGCATGCCTGGTAATTTTTTATTGGATGCCAGACATGAATTTTACCTTGTTTATATTCCTACAAATATTCTTGAGCTTTGTTCTAGGAAATGGTTACTTGGAAGTTTGATCCTTGCTTTTTTGTTTACTGCGACCAAAGCAGTATTTTTTCTAGGGCTAATTCTAACCTTACCACCAAGGTAAAACCTTTAATATGCTACATGATACTACATGAATTACGATGTTTTCCACTCTGGGGGGTGAAATCAGGGCTTATTCCCAGCCCTGTGGGGACTTTGGGAATTGTTCCATGTCATCTATTCAGGTGATTGTTTCCCCTGCATCTATAAGCTGATTAGTACTGAGCTTCAGACTTGAGGGCCACTGCAGATCTATTCCAGAGCTCTCTCTGATATTCTGCTCTGAGGATTCTAGCTGCATCCCCTTAACTCAGGGAGCCTGCCAGGCGCTGCCTGGATTCCCTTTGTCCATGATACAGCCGGAAATACACTCCAGGCAGTAGGCTGGGCGGTTGCCACAGTAGGGACTGCTGAACTGTTAGGGATCACTGTCCTTCGTTGCCTTTGTCTAATGTCTTCAGTGCCTTTTTTTCACATATTTTGTCAATTTTTTTAGCTGATTGAGGCAGGAGGATAAGTCTGATCCCTGTTACTAAATCTTGACCAAAGTGTGAGTCTACCACTAATTAACATATGTATGTGTGAATTAACTTTTTATTAAAGTATCATATATAAGAATATAGAGAAAAGTGTACAACTCAATAGATTTTCACAAAGTGAACACACCTGAGTACCACTCAGATCAAGAAACAGAATGTCATCAGTACCCCAGAGGTTCTCCTTGTGTCCCTTACACACTCACTACCCCACAAGGGGAATGACTATCCTGACTTGTAACAACACAGTTAATTGCTAAGCTTTTCATTTTTGCTGTGCTCCTATTACTTTTCTGTCAGTGAGATTGTTTTTCATTGGAGAATTTGGTTTTCAGTTTAAACAACTAGCTTGTAATTTGATCTTGTATTTATCTTTAATAGATAAATGATCCCGCACTGAGACACACAGGCCTCTACTGCAACCAGCTCTCATCCACTGACCTTCTCAAAACAGAAGCAGATGGAACCCAGGTCAGTAAGGAAATTCTAAGCCCAGAGCTGTCAAATGTACTCTAGATGCACAGAGGTCATTGTGTAGCATCATTAAGAGCCTGACCTTGGGAGTCAGACCTGGGTGTGAGTCCTGGCTCTGCTCTTCTTAGCTGTGTCGTCCTGGGCATGTTATGGAGCTTTCCTGAGCTGCTGTATAACCACAGAACTAACATGACACCTGCTTATAGGATTGTTGAGAGGATTCAATGAGATCAGTTCAGATGGCTTAACTCAGTGCTTAGATAGGATAAAGTGATCACAAATGGTGGCCACTAATTGTTATTTTGTAAATAAGCACAGTGCTAAAAACTCATCTGTAATCAAAATACCTCAGAAGATCTCAGTAATTCAGACAAAACAGAGTACCTGCTGTATACTTCACCTCCTAAGAAGTATGTTTCAAAACAGCACAAACAGCAAGGTGGCCACTTTCCTATATTAACCTAATTTAGAAATTGTGGGCCGGGCGCGGTGGCTCATGCCTGTAATCCCAGCACTTTGGGAGGCCGAGGCGGGCGGATCACAAGGTCAGGAGATTAAGACCATCCTGGCTAACATGGTGAAACCCTGTCTCTACTAAAAATCCAAAAAATTAGCCGGGTGAGGTGGCGGGTGCCTGTAGTCCCAGCTACTTGGGAGGCTGAGGCAGGAGAATGGCATGAACCCCGGGGGGCGGAGCCTGCAGTGAGCCGAGATCACGCCACTGCATTCCAGCCTGGGCGACAGCGAGACTCCATCTCAAAAAAAAAAAAAAAAAAAATTTTGGAGGAAGGGCTTAATTCACTTTCGTAACTTTGGTTGAACTTTGGTCTCTCTCTCTTTTTTTTTTTTTTTTTTTTTTGAGTTGGAATTTCGCTCTTTTGCCCAGGCTGGAGTGAAGTGGCGTGATCTTGGCTCACTGCAACCTGCGCCCCCTGGGTTCAAGCGATTCTCCTGCCTCAGCCTCCCAAGTAGCTGGGATTATAGGCGCCCGCCACCATGCCCGGCTAATTTTTCGTCTTTTCAGTAGAGACAGGTTTTCGCCATTTTGACCAGGCCGGTCTCGAACTCCTGACCTAAGGTGATCCACCCGCCTCGGCCTCCCAAAGTGCTAGGATTACAAGCATGAGCCACCACGCCAGGCCAGACTTTAGTCTCTTAATGAACATTTTTAACCCAGGGATTATGCCACAGATGGCAGTAGGAAGACACATAAGATATGTTCCATCAGCATCTGGTGAACTGTGGGGAGAAGTGAGGAAAGGAAACTTCATTTGTGAAATGCTTGTGGTTTGCCAGGCACTGTGCTATGCACTGTATGCATTATCTCATTTAAGCCTCACTATAACCCTATGAACGAGGTAGTATTCCTTTTCTTCACAGATGAAGAAACTGAACATGAGGAGGTTTAACTACATGTACCATTCACAGTGCTAGAAAGAGGAAGAGCTGAGGTTCAAACCCAGGTCTTTCTACCGCCAGAGTCCACACTGTTCCTGCCATACCAGTTAGGGACTGCTGAAAGATAAAACACATCAATATATGCACCTAAACTGTCATAAAACCAAAGAAGGCAAATTATTAAATTTATGTTACAATTAATGAACCATAAGCATTCAAAGAAAGGAGAATTTGCTGAGATGGTCACAAGAGCATTTTTGCAAGAGATAGAGCTGAGCTGAGCCTTGAAGGACAGTTACCAAGGCAAAGGGAAGGAAAAGGGTATGGTAGTTGTTGGAGGCTGGTGCAGAGGTAGATTTAGAAGTAGAAGGAACTGGAAGGCCACAGAAACAGGGAAATAGTAATATCTCAACATAGTCCTGGGAAACCAAATCAACTGAAGGTAAAGGGTTTATAATAAGTATTCATAGGAATTAAAATTGGTAAAGTGGCTTGGGGCAAATTTCCAGAGGCCTTGAATGCTAAACTGAGGGATTTGGATTCAACCCTATGGACAGAAGAGTCATCCCTGAAAGGGAACATCGATAGAAGTGCTAGTTTAGACTTCATCTTGGGAAGAAGGTGAAGGAAGATATATTGGCCAGTTGAGAAGGACAAAGATTAGAAGACTGGGTTCACAGTCTAAGCATTAGGAAATAGGACCTGAGTCCTCTCAAGGTAAAGAGAAGGCATTTTGGCTTACACCTGTAATCCCAGCACTTTGGAAGCCTGAGGCAGGCAAATCATTTGAGGTCAGGAGTTTGAGACCAGCCTGGCCAACATGGAGAAACCCTGCCTAAAAATACAAAAATTAGCCAGGCATGGTGGCGGGCACCTGCAGTCCCAGCTATTCAGGAAGTTGAGACAGGAGAATCGCTTGAACCCAGGAGGTGGAGGTTGCAGCGAGCCGAGATCACACCACTGCACTCTATCTTGGGCGACAGAGGGATACTTCGACTCAAAAAAAAAAAAGAGAGAGAGAGAGAAGGCATTTTAAGACTGGGGAGCCGGGTGCGGTGGCTCACGCCTGTAATCCCAATACTTCAGGAGGCTGAGGCGGGCAGATCACTAGGTCAGGAGATCAAGACCATCCTGGCTAACACGGTGAAACCGTGTTAAAATACAAAAAAAAATTAGCCAGGCATGGTGGCGGGCGCCTGTAGTCTCAGCTACTCGGGAGGCTGAGGCAGGAGAATGGCGTGAACCTGGGAGGCGGAGCTGGCAGTGAGCCGAGATCGTGCCACTGCACTCCAGCCTGGGCGACAGAGCAAGACTCTGTCTCAAAAAAAAAAAAAAGATCGAGGAAATGAAGAGTCTTCATTCACCAGATGTTTTTGAAAGTCTCAAACCCACAGAGACATTACTGGGCAGCTTGACAAATTAGTTACACCCAAACAACCATGTTTTAAAGTTCCAGAGCCCTGCCCTGAAACAGTATTTGAACTGAAGCAAAAATTATGCCAGAAAATCTTCAGAGGTTGGGACTCAGCTCTCACACCAGTCTTCTCACCTGGAAGATCTGAAGCTTCTTTTGTGTCACACTTTGCCTATCTGAGAAGTTGTGACAATATAAGAAGTCCTTTGTGGACTGGTCTGAGACACCCCCTTTTAAGTAATAGTTTGAAATGGGTTTTAGAGTTTGTTCAGTCTTTTCAGTTTTCTGTAATTTCAATAATACACTTTTTTTTTTTTTTTTTTTGAGACGGAGTCTTGCTTTGTCGTTGCCCACGCTGGAATGCAGTGGTGCAATCTCAGCTCACTGCAACCTCCTCCTCCTGGGTTCAAGTGATTCTCCAGCCTCAGCCTCCCAAATAGCTAGAATGACAGGCGTGTGCCACCACACCCAGCTAATTTTTTTATTTTTTGTAGAGATGGGTCTCACTATGTTGCCCAGGCTGGTCTCAAACTTCTAGCATCAAGTGATCCTCCTGCCTCAGCCTCCCAAAGTGCTAGAATTAGAGGCATGAGCCTCCATGCCTATCCTAGACTATCTTTTAAAAAGTTTTATTTTTAAAGAAGCAGAACTTTCTAGTTTGTTTTATCATGCCTTTATCAAGAACTTTTTAAGAATTTAGGGACAAAAACATCTTATGCTCTGCCCCAATATTTCATATGTAGAAACATAAACATCAAATTTTATATGTTGACCTTTTTTTAAATCACTGCCTAAAAAAGAACTATATTTTGTGGTCATGTGAAGTTTCAGTGGTAGAATTTTCTTTCTGTTGTGGCCAATCATGAATCTTGCTCCAGTGTTTTTGTATTTACCAGACGGCAGCTGGGGAGTGAGTTAGACAGAAATATAAAGACAGATATACAGAAAGGGAGAAGAAAAAGATGAGGAGAAGAGGACTAGGGGAGTAGTAGGGAACTGGGATGGGATGGGGAGGAGGTAAGACAGGAGAGAACAGGAAGAGAACAGAGGAGTGGGAAGAGGGATGGCAGGAGGAGGTAAGACAGGAGAGAACAAGAAGAGAAGAGAGGAGCGGGAAGAGGGCTGGCAGGAGGATCGTTGACCTAGGAAGAGAGGAAGGCCTGGTGAAGCTCTAGAAGGAAAGAGTCAGAATGAGACGTTACAGACCACAAAGGCGGGGCAAGGGCACAGAGGCAGCTGGAGAGCAGACTGGGCGCGTTGGTGTGTTATAGACACAAGAGAAAGAGCCCAGAGGAGGCAGTAACAAATGGGAGCATATAGGAGCTAGAAGCCACATTTGGGAAACTAGGGAAAGGGGAAGAGAAGGAGAGAAAAGCAGTGCAAATCTAACTAGAGATTTGATTCCTTAGGCACTAGGAAAGCTCAGCTTGGGGGCTGTCTGCCTCATCTGAGAGGAAGGAAAGTGGAGATATAAACGGATTAAGAGGATAGGAGACCAGGGGACAGACTGGTGTCCAAATTTGATGCATACCACATTTGACATTTGGCTAATGAAGGTTGATGGAAAACAACTTTTACTCGATTAGGATAGAAAAGTTTTTTAAAAAGCTGAGTGTAATTGACATGAATTAGTGATAAATGACCAAAAAAAATACACCACTAATCTAAAATACTTTATGACCTATCAAACAGGAGACACAAGTTTGTCAAAAAGTTTGAGACACTTAGATGCACTTAGATGCCTTAGAAGGCATCTCCATTCCTGGTCTGGAACATTCACAAGTGTGGTATTGGCCCTAATCAGTTCTACGAACAACTTTTTAATAAGGCTGGTTGGTAAAGACTAACTTCTGGCTTTGTTTTCCCAATAGAATATGCTAGAACTGTGCAACTTTAGACATTTTTAAGGAATAAGTGTATTATTACTCATAGTAGTGAAGGGAAAATTCACACTGTTCTCAAGGCTAATAGACGTACTGTTAATTTTAGCTCATGTGTTTAAATGGATTGTCTATCAGGGGAAAAAAGTCAAATATGAAATTGTTCTAATGATAATTTGCTGTAATTCTAAAGCCAATATGTGAAAGAGCTGTGTAATAATATATTTAAATACTAAAAAATCTTTTGGACATTAACCTTAGATGCTGATGTCCTCTTATTGAGTTGTGGTTTTGTTTTGCTAATACTGGTTGAAAGCCCTTTAATTTTTCAGTGACATCATAAAGATTTTTTATCCTACTGAAATCATCCATAGAATGGTTTTAAACCAGTTTTCTAAATATCATGTATTTTTTAAAACCTACCACTGGATACCCAGACTCTGAAACTGGGCTTCTCCCAATCTTGGCAACATTAGCAATGATACTCACTTTCAGTATTGATGGCAACCCTATAGGAGGCGTGACCATTCCAATTTTGATTTTATTTTTAAAGTGTGAACTTTCCAGAACCCTGAGCAAAATGAGTGCAGCGATTTTCTTTTTGTAGGACAAGAAGACAGAAGAGTTCTTCTCTGTGGTGACTACAGACTAGAGGAATGCTCTAGTGAGTTTCCACTTCAAGTAGTACCCACTCATAAGCCGGGGGGGCAGACCCTTCTGTCTAAACACATCTTTTATTTGTGTTCCAGCAGGTGCAACAGGTTCAGGTGTTTGCTGACGTCCAGTGTACAGTGAATCTGGTAGGCGGGGACCCTTACCTGAACCAGCCTGGTCCACTGGGAACTCAAAAGCCCACGTCAGGACCACAGACCCCCCAGGCCCAGCAGAAGAGCCTCCTTCAGCAGCTACTGACTGAATAACCACTTTTAAAGGAATGTGAAATTTAAATAATAGACATACAGAGATATACAAATATATTATATATTTTTCTGAGATTTTTGATATCTCAATCTGCAGCCATTCTTCAGGTCGTAGCATTTGGAGCAAAAAAAAAAAAAAAAAAAAAAAAAGGAGTTTGCTTTTGTCGGGAGATTGAAAGATGTTTTTGTTTCTTTCTTTGTAAAGGCCTTGGATATTGAAAAAATACCAAGGCAGAACAGTTGGACAATCTATTTCTTGAGCCAAATTTAATTATTCTTATTTTTGTAATCAGTCATTGGCTTCTTATCTGGATGAAGGCTTTTGGAGGAGAACCAAAACGACAAGTTCCAAGAAGAAGATGAAGCTCCGCCTCCGCCGCTTAGTCCCAACCCTGCCCAGGAAGAAGGGCCCGTGGGGCTTTGCCTGTGCCCGTCCACCAAAGGCTGTCATGTGTCTCGAAATCAGCAGCCCTCCCCATCCCAATCCCAGGCAGCTTGTGTGTACAATCAGCTTCTCTAGCAACTCTGTATCTGTTGGCTTCAAGAGAATATTTTGCCTCCACATATGTACCCCTTCTCCTTTTTTTAAAGATGGATTTAAACCAAGATGCCTCCAGGAAAGAGGACGAAATGAGTATATTCACAGAGGAATCCAAAAAATACAGTTTGGGGGAAAATGCAATAATTTTTGATGAGATGGGTGAAGGACAAGAAGTGAGTTGTGTCAATTATTGTAGATACAATTTTCTGATTAAATCTGGAAAAATAAAAGGCAGCCTGTTTTTTCTGCTTTTATTGTATTAACAGCTGAGGTAGCTAAAGTTATTTAAAATAAAATTAAATTTATGATCCAAGTAGCTTATTTTTCCCTTTAAATCTCATTGTAAATATATTTGATTTCTTGTAGAAATTGATTTCCTTCTGTTTAATTTTATGCTTTTATTATACTCTTGATTTTTCTAAATTTGTGTGTGAAATATAACATTGATTGAATTGCAGTTACATTTGGTTAGTAATATTTCATTATTTTAATAACTGTGATGTCATGTATGGATTTACTTTGGGGTTCAAATCAAAATGTCACTGCCAGAAAGAGCTGTTCCAGCTGATCTAGAGCATACTGCCCTAGAGTGTCCCTGGGATCATCTGAACAGAAGTGCACAGGCTACTTGTACAGAGAAAAAATTAATACTCAAAGGAAATCTTCATTTTTTAGATTGACTTTGGGAATTTGAATTTTCATCAGTGCAAATATAAATTTCTCTATCCTGCTCTGAGGCTAATTGGTACCATATTTTCCCTTTGTGTCTTGTGACTCTGCCACATCCCATCTCATCCTGGCCTCTGAGTCAAGAACCCAGTGAACTGACTTTCTAGTTCTAGAAGTTCCGCTGCAAGGCCAGGAAAGCTTGAGAAAGGTATTGTGGAAGAAGCAAAGGTAGACCCCCATCACTCACCTTTGTCTGCATCCCTGGGCCTGTGAATGATGACAGCACCTGACATTCTGCACCAGCTACCTCTGCCTCCATGGCAGAGAAAAGGCCATAAGAACAGTGGAAGAGGAGCATGGACTCAGACTTCAAGGAAGAAGCCATTTCCCCAGGTCCTTCCTTCTGCATCTCACCACCCCTAGTTACAAATAACTCCATTGAACAGCATCTATTCAGAAACTATGCCGAATAAAAAGATTGGTGGAAGGGCTCATGTGGTTAGCAACTATGAAACAGAAATAGGACACTCAGTTACAAACATTATCTCCTTTAGTTTTTCAGAAAATGCATCCCTGATTTCATTCATTTCCAGCTTGAAAGCCAGCCATATTACTCTAGTCCCTACCAAACTGCTCTAGAAGGTCATTTCCATTTTGTTTGTGATATTTAGACGCGCAGACTTCAGGAAGTTCACCTTTAACTTCAGCATTCCAGATGAAGTTTCCTGACTCAGTGCTTTTGCATAAGGAACTAGAAAAAAAAAGTAAGGAAAATTGGAGATGCTAACATCCTCCCCCATCCCAACTGCACCTTAAAATATGCATGTCACCTTCAAGGTTTTATAATTGCACTGTTTGTTTTATGTATGTACAGATTAAAATTATTGCTACATTTGAGGAAAATAAAATTGCTTGCTTCTATGTAATTCCTGTCATTCCACAGGAAATTCACTTTTCCAGCTACTGAATAGAATTTGTTTAACAACCTCATGGGTTGCCTCTTCATTTACAGGGAAGAAATGAAATGTACATCTGCAGAAATTGCCAAAGCCCAAATTAACGAGTATTATAAAAGGATAATAAAGCATCCCTGAAGCCAAAGATCCTCAAAGTCATCCTGATTTGAGCCAGACCATTGAAATTTGAGAAGGTCAAACTGAAGTCATGATAGCAGGCCTTGAGGGGTTCTAACTGTGACATTATCTGATGATTAAAGACTTCTAGGCCTGCTGTTTCTTGACTCAGAAGATCTGGTCCAGGCAGTACTTCATGGCCATAGATGCCATGTCTCTCTCTATTTTTTTTAAAATATATCAACATTTATCAATAATAGGTATTGAGTCTTACTTGAGAAGCCTCCTTCAATGTGACAATGCATTTTATAGGAATTAGGCCCTGTTGTTTGTTTTTAAATCCTAAATCCACCAACTTGGCTAAGTAGGGCTAGGGTGTAAGAGTTACAGAGGAAACAAACATGAAATGCGGCTCAACAGTTAAAGACAGATTTATTTTAGAGAAAATAAACCTGAGAGGGGCTTCTGGCTGATTTCCATCAGGAGTGCTTTCTCTTACAGAGTAAGAGTATACGTTGGTTTTAGGGTGAGGGGGCTTATCACAAGCTTGGAATGTTTTTGTGTGAGGGAGAAGTTTTATGGCAGGGTCGGAATGTCTGGGCAAAGGGGAGGTTATCTTGGGGCTGATGTCTTTCTGGCCAGAGGGGGGTTATCTCGGGGTTAGCATGTCTTTGGCTGGGGAGGAGTTTGGAGTGTTGCTGGTTGGAGATGTTATTTGTGGTTTATGGTTGTGCTGACCTTAGTCATTAGGCTGATGCCCTTTGGATTTAGGCGGTTTTTGATTAAGGTGAATTTTAGAATGAGGGGCTTGTCCAAGATGGCGATGCTCCTGCTCTGTCATAAGGTAAATGTGATTCCAGAGGGCTCAAGGAGGGTGTACTTCCCACACACATTCCTAGACCTAAATGTACACAGATTTGGTAACTGTTTTCTGAAGTCATATTTATGGGGGGACAAAACCTTTTTTTTCCATAGTTGGGATAAGATAAAAATGAAACTTCCCTTAGATGAGGCTGAACATTGATTTAAAGTTACCCTGAGGTGTAGGGGTGAGGAAAACAAAAACAATTGAGGACAAAGTGTGATTGTTATAAGGAAGTTTCACCTTTGTGGTTTCACCTAAGGTAGGTTCCATTCCTAAAGAAGACCTCAGAAATGGTCTCCTAGGCCCTGACAAAGAAAAAGCAAGGACAGTTGTCTGCTTACAAAGGCAGTTGTACTGATTTCCTGGTTGACAGTAACTGCTCTTCCCAGAAGGGCACCTCCACTTGAATAAAGTGAGTAATTCAGAGCAAGCTTGAGCCTTGACCATTCCTGTGCCCCTGAAGATCTTGATGATTTAATTAAGCCCATAAATTATTTTTATTGGAGAAAACTGCCAAAGGAAGCGTGCCTCTGTCCAGAACCCTTTCTGCCAGCACTAAATTAGTTTTCTTTCTATATTTTCATTGCCCCCAGAATTCTTAACAAGATTGAAGGAACACAAAGTTCTGGCCTTACTCACTCATTCAACACATTGTATTGTCTTTATCTGAGGAACTGGGGATATGAAAGGATCCCGACAGGCATGCGCCCTGCCCTAGTGGAGCTTATATTCACATCAGGGGGCTTAGATCAAGATAACCACAACTGGATTAATTCCAACTGTGGAATTCACACAGGAGAATTCCAAGTAGGAATTTGTAAGCAGGGCCTCATCTGGAGGCGAAGGCAGTTTCCCTTGAGGAAGCAATGGCATTCAAAGTGAGGTTTGCAGGTGATGAGGAGGTAGCTCAGTGGAGAGCCAGTGAACAGAGTTGTGAGAGGCAGCACATGGGAAGGCCTGGAGACAGGGAGGAGCCCCAGAGAGCTGCTTGTTTTAAGTTGTTAACTAGCACTCTCCTGAGCTGGCATCTACATTAGAGTTACGTCAGCCCATGGCTCCAGGAGGAACAGCACTAGGCATTGGGATCCTCACTTGAAAATTGTTTCAGCTCATACCTAAAGTCTCTTCCACAACTAGCCCTGTCCTGCCAGAAATACAGGCTTCTGTATCTTCTACACAGTAGTCTGTAGCTGGTGACAGTATTAAAAGTACTCGGAGACAATAAGTTTGTAACAATTTCTAAAATACTTTTCTGGACATTATCTCATTTAATCCTCTGCTGTCCTTGTAGAGAGTTGTTAGAAAATAAGCTCTGGGCTGGGTGCAGTGGCTCACGCCTGTAATCCCAGTACTTTGGGAAGCTGAGGTGGGTGGATCACCTGAGGTCAGGAGTTCAGGACCAGCCTGGCCAACATGATGAAACCCTGTCTCTACTAAAAATACAAAAAAATTAGCTGGGCATGGTAGCGTGCGCCTGAGTAGGTAGCTACTCAGGAGGCTGAAGCAGAAGAATTGCTTGAACCCAGGAGGTGGAGGTTGCAGTGAGCCAAGATCACACCATTGCACTCCAGCCTAGGCAACAAGAGCGAAACTCCATCTCAAAAAAAAAAAAAAAAAAAAAAGGCCAGGTGCAGTGGCTCACACCTGTAATCCCAGCACTTTGGGAGGCCAAGGCAGGCAGATCATGAGGTCAAGAGATGGAGACCATTGTGGCCAACATGGTGAAACCCAGTCTCTACTAAAAATACAAAAATTAGCTGGGCGTGGTGGCGCACACCTGTAATCCAAGCCATTTGGGAGGCTGAGGCAGGAGAATCGTTTGAATCCAGGAGGCGGAGGTTGCAGTGAGCCGAGATTGCACCACTGAACTCCAGCCTGGCAACAGAGCGAGACTCCGTCTCAAAAAAAAAAAAAAAAGAAAACAAGTTCTAAAGGGTTATGATACAAACACTACCATTTATCAGTGGAAATTGGGAGTTGAAACCAAGTCTAATTCCAAATTCTGGATTCACTATCCTGGACAATATGATTTAGTATGGATTCTGAGTCTGTAGACTTTAATCTCTTTTTGATCTTAGGCAGTGCTTTCATATGTGAAATAACTAAAACAGCTTTGAAAAGACAGGCAAGAACTCTGGGGTTGAGAAGAGAGGACCCGGCCCCTTCTCTGGAGGTGGTCAGAGCCTGCCCTTTGGAGGCCTCAACTAAATAGGGGTTATCTTTGGCATGTGGTCAGCAGGGTGTCCCACTACCGTTTGGGAGAAGCATTCTGTGCCTGCATATCTAAACAAGGAATGAAGAAGGAGTCTATGAAACTACAGGGTCATCCCCTTAGCTTAAAAGAATTTTGGAAAATGTGAGTTCCTTCTGGGGCAGGTATAAGAATGACTGACAGAGGATCCTTTTTGTGAGGCAGAGGAATTTTAGGACCCTACAGTTCACCCTAGGATAGTAGGTTTATTGGATCAGACCTTGGAAAAACTTGCCTTTCCCTGACTCTTGATCCTACTGCAGACAAAGAATCGTTCTCTTATGCTGTGGAGTTTGGCCCTGGTCTAATTGTTTATGCTTGTCTCTGAACTGGTAGTTTGTACAACCAGCAGAAGCAAGCAGTGCCCACAGGTGTCCATAACAAACTTGAGACATTGGCTTGAGAAAAGAAGAATTACGTTGAAAGGAATAACTTCTGTTCCATCAGATTTTCCTCCCATTCCAGTGCCAAGGAGCCCTCAGGTAAAGCAAAACCCCGAGACTACGGTATGGTATTTACTCCTTTTTTCTTTTTAGAGTCAGGATTTCTCCCAGGCTGGAGTACAATGGCATGAGAATCGCTCACTGCAGCCTCAAACTCCTGGGCCTAAACCATCTTCCTGCCTCAGCCTCCCAAGTAGCTGGGACTACAAGTGCATCACTCAGCTAATTTTTTTGGGGGGAGGGTAGAGGCAGGGTCTCGCTATATTGCCCAGGCTGGTCTTGAACTCCTGGCCTCAAGTGATCCTCCTGCCTTGACCTCCCAAGTGCTGGGATTACAGACGTGAGTCACCGAGCCCAGCCTTTATTCCATTTTTGATGAGCTGTTGCTGTACTGACACAGTACAGCAGTGTGGGAAGTACAGAGACACTGCTGTGAAGCTGCTTCTTTCCTAACTGGAGATTCTACATCAGTTAACAGATTTTTTATTTTTACTCTGCCAGGCAATGTACTAGTCTAGTAACCCACTTTTGTGTGAATAATTTCTTACATTTGTATAGCACTTTCACATATTTGATCTGCAAAATCCTATAAAGCAATTACAGTAGGCCGTTTTACAGATGGTGAAACTGAAGCTCAGATTTATAGTCAAGTGACTAACAAGCGCTCGGCCCAAGAGTCAATCCTTGGGCTTTGGAATGAAACCTGCCAGTGGTTCCACTGCACAATACAAGTACTAGAGATAAAAGCACCTGCCTGGGCACAGTGGCTCACGCCTATAATCTCAACACTTTGGGAGGCCAAGGCGGGCGGATCACCTGAGGTCAGGAGTCCGAGACCAGCCTGGCCAACATGGCAAAACCCCATCTACTAAAAATATAAAAATTGAGCCACACGTGGTGGCACATGCATGTTAATCCCAGCTACTCAGGTGACTGGGGCAGAAGAATTGCTTGAACCCAGGAGGCAGAGGTTGCAGTGAGCTGAGATCACACCGCTGCACTCCAGCCTGGGTGACAGAGCAAGACTCCGTCTCAAAAAAAAAAAAAAAAAAAAGACGATGACATAATGACTGTGGGAATTCTGATGAGTTAAAAATTATTCTCTGGAACTCCAAATTCCTTACAAGCTCATAGGGGTTTCCATTTTGAAAACAAATCTAGGTCAGGCACAGTGGTTCACACCTGTAATCCTAGCACTTTGGGAGGACAAGGCGGGGGGATTGCTTGAGGTAAGGAGTTTGAGACCAACCTGGCCAACAGAGCTCTAATTTTGAGTTTGTCAAAGTATAACATGTTTTTAATGTATATGAGGATAATGTTTTTCAGGCAGGGCCCTGTACTCTCACTGAACAGCTCTTCCCTTGAACTCAGTACCACTCACACATGTATACATCTTAAGTCCACTCTTCAACATCTCTCTCATAATCCAGTTTTAAATTTTCAACTGGTGAGCATTACCACATGGATCCCACCCTCCCACCTCCAGCACCTCAAACTTAAGTCCCAAACCAAATAACTTATTCCCCACAAATATGTTCTTATATCTCCATCCGAATTAATTGCATCATTATCCTGCTAGTGGTCATTTTCAACAACTTTTTCCCACTCATTTCACTAAATTGCAAGAAGTCCCACTTTGTAGTGCCTCATAGCCATCTCCTCCTTTCTAGCCCTATTACTCACTGACCGAATTCCAGACTTAATTATCCTTTTTCAGACGATTACAGTAACCACCTTCATGCCTTTTACACGCATCCTTCACACAATCATCAGAGAAATCTTTATAAACACAACCTTCAGAATCTTAGTGTCTGCTTCTTGCCTAGAGTTGATCTGAAATCCAGTGACCTTTTGAGCTTCATTGCCCTCTACACTCTCTCTAAACAAAAAGGTCCTGCCACAAAAATGATCCGGTCTTTATTCTTGAATTTACCATGTTCTCGCTTTCATTGCCATCCCCAGTCTCTTCCCCTTAGCCTGTATGCTCTTCCCTTCTACTCATCCTTCAAGACTTCAGTTGAGGCCGGGCACGGTGGCTCATGCCTGTAATCCCCGCACTTTGGGAGACCGAGGCGGGTGGATCACGAGGTCAGGAGATTGAGGCCATCCTGGCTAACACGGTGGAACTCCGTCTCTATTAAAAAAAAAACAAAAAAATTAGCCGGGCGTGGTGGTGGGCGCCTGTAGTCCCAGCTGCTTCGGAGGCTGAGGCAGGAGAATGGCTTGAACCCGGGAGGTGGAGCTTGCAGTGAGCCGAGATCGCGCCACTGCACTCCAGCCTGAGCGACAGAGCAAGATTCCATCTCAAAAAAAAAAAAAAAAAAAAAAAAAGACTTCAGTTGAGATGCCCTTGCCATGAAGCCCCCACTGTCCCCACATTCTGATTAACCCTTCCTTTGCTCTGCCTTGCTGCAGTGTTTGGGTCTCCATTGGCATGCAGTTATATGTACATCTGTTTCTTTTCTTCACTAAATTGTAAGCCTCTTAAAGAAGAGATACACACACTCCTACCACCCCTAGCCTCCCGCCGAACCTTCTACATAGTAGGATCTTAAATGCTGGTTGAAGAAATAGACTCAAAGGCAATATTTCAAATAAGGGAAAATTGCTGTGGGTAGACTGGCACTGAGTTGTCTCCCTAGAGTCTGGATTGTTGAGCTGATAGAAGGTTGCAGACTTGTCTAAAAGGTCAAGACAGGATTTTGATTTCATCTTGATGACTATGAAACGGCATCACCATCTAGGGTAAATAAATACCCAAGATTCGTTGTCTCATGGCCACGGAAAACTAGGATGCAGACACACCAAGAGTGAGGTTCAGAGCAGAACCTTAATAGTTGGAAGAAAGAGAAAAACTCTCTCTGCTGCAAAGAGAGGGGTCCCGGAGAAAATGGGAAATGGTTTGCCACTTCTGCAGTGAAATGCATAAGGTTTTATAGATGAGCTTGAGGAAGAGGTGTCTGATTTACATAGGGTGTACAAGATTGGTTGGACCAGCTGTGCCATTTACATAGCACACAAAAAGCTGGTGAGAACTGTAGGTGTACCATTTGCATAGCATGCAAAGAAGGTGGTTGTCCCACACTAATCTTTTATTATGCAGACGGGTTCTCTAACTGGCCTGCGCCATGTTACCTGGTTCTTTACACATGGTGACAAAGGGAAGCTGGAGCCTCCATGTTGAGCATGCCTGGCCCTCAGGTGGCCCTTTTTTTTTTTTTTTTTTTTTTTTTTGAGATGGAGTCTCACTCTGTGGCCCAGGCTGGAGTGCAGTGGCGCAATCTCGGCTCACTGCAAACTCCGCCTCCCGGGTTCATGTCATTCTCCTGCCTCAGCCTCCCAAGTAGCTGGGACTACAGGCGCCTGCCACCACGCCCGGCTAATTTTTTGTATTTTTAGTAGAGATGGGGTTTCACCGTGTTAGCCAGGATGGTCTCGACCTCCTGACCTCGTGATCCGCCCACCCTGGCCTCCCAGAGTGCTGGGATTACCAGCATGAGCCACCGCTGCGCCCAGCCCAGGTAGCCCTTTTCTATTGGCACAACTGGCAGCATTCACCCATGCAAGCTTCCAGCTTGCTTATCTATGACTGCAGTTTGATTTTTCAGGCTGTTCTTTGTTAGAAAAGAAATGATTGTGGGGGGGGCTGCTTTTTGTTAAAAGGGAAAATCCGTCAAGGACTCTGTTGCCCTCACTATCTACCTAAATAATTTCTTTCTAGCTCCTGTATCAACTGTTTTTTGTTTGTTTGTTTGTTTGTTTTCATAAAAGGTGAGTGAATACAAGTCCCTTTCACTAGGAGTTTCGAAATTCTCACACTCTAGGAGCCTCTACATCGTTGGAGAATTTACAGAACATTAGCAGTTATCTGCAATACTTCATCAAGCTCTCAGCTTTATAGATGATATATGCTTGGGTTAAACCCTTTCCACTTCTCCGAAATTACCCTCTCACTGAAAATCAGCTGATTGAGTTGACTACCATCTTAACTGAGAAAGTAGGAAAGGCAGATCGGTGAGACAATCACTTCCAGTCTTCCCTACAAAAATGAATATATAGTATAAACCAAAAAGTGTCTGAGACAGATCTCAACTGATTTAGAGGTTTACTTTGCCACAGTTGAGGTTGTGCATGGGAAAAAGAAATACAAGTTACAATAGGATCTGTGGCCTGTACTGTTTTCAAAGATGGTTTTGAGGACTTCAGTATTTAAAGGGCAAAGAGTGGACAGAAGGGGTAGGAGGAAAGAGAAAGGGGGAGGTTAGGTGGTAAGGCAAATCGTTACATTCTTGTGAGGCTTTGATTAGCACTCACTGAATTCACATTTTACGTTTGAAAAGACAGGAGTAGGGGAAAGTCAATTATGCATTTTTCCTGCACTCAATAAATCTTTATTTTTTTCTTTTCTTTTCTTTTCTTTTCTTTTTTTTTTTTTTGAGACAGGATCTCCCTCTGTCACCCAGGCTAGAGTGCAGTGGCATGATCTCAGCTCACTGCAACCTCCACCTCCTGAGTTCAAGCAATTCTTGGGCCTCAGCCTCTTGAGTAGCTGGGATTACAGGCATGTGCCATCACACCTGGCTAATTTTTTGTATTTTTAGTAGAGACGAGGTTTTGCTGTGTTGGCCAGGCTTGTCTCAAACTTCTGGCCTCAAGTGATCTGCTTGCCTTGGGATTACAGGCGTGAGCCACTGTGCCCAGCCATTCCTTTTACACATAAGGTAAGGTCAGCATGTGAAATCACAGCTATCTGTTTAAGAATAAAAGGAAGGAAGTTTTTGTGTGCTTCAGTTCACAAGTTTAACTTTCCCTTTAGCACAGTGAGTTTGGGGGTCCCCAAATTTTTCTTTTCTTTTCGTATGTCCTATTCACTCTTTTACCTACAATAAAATGCTGCTGAGAAGCAATTCATGTTGAAATTAAACAAGAATAAGATGGCTCCTTGTGAAATTTCTATCAGTTTGGCCTTTAAAACCAATGCCTCTAAAAGCTGAGTGACTTAACTCAGAAAGTGAACAGAAGGGACACATCAACAAACAGGCTGACCTTCCTCTAACAGGAACAAAGGTCTTGCCTGGAGTTTCCTTCCTCATTCCTGAAGAAGCATTCCAGCCCTGCTCAGTTCTGCTGCTTTTTCAAGTCCAAAGTAATTTATCACATACCTGCCTATACTTAACTTTAGGCTACATATTTCCTGATCATCTTCCTTTTTGCCTTGCAAACTTCTATTTTTAAAAAAGCATAAATTGGCCGGGCACGGTAGCTCATGCCTGTAATCCCAGCACTTTGAGAGGCCGAGGCAGGTGGATCACCTGAGCTCAGGAGTTCGAGACCACCCAGGGCAACATGGTGAAACCCTGTTTCTACTAAAAATACAAAAAAATTAACCGGGTGTGGTGGTGCACACCTGTAGTCCCAGCTACTTGGGAGGCTGAGGCAGGAGAATCACTTGACCCCCTGAGGCAAAGGTTGCGATGAGCTGAGATCGCGCCATTGCACTCCAGCTTGGGCCACAGAGTGAGACAGTGAGACTCCATCTCAAAAAAAATTTTAAAAAAAAAGCATAAATTTTAAAAATTAGCTTTCCATTTTAACATTCTTCTAATGTTAGCAATTATACTTTAAATAATAATTACTTAGCAAGCTAGACTTTAAGCAAAACCATCTGGGGAAAAGCTCCCTATAGAGCACACCCTATTTAAAGACTCGCATGACTCTGAGCTTAGGCTTTAAATTTTCATCCTACCTTCAGTTGAAAGCTTCTAAATAGCTTTTTATTAAGGAAATTTCTAAGTGTCTGTGAAAGTAGAAAGAATAGTATAATGAACCAGTTCTAGGTTTTTAATCAGTCTTTTGGTATGTGATTTTTATAACCCCAAGTAAAGAGATGACTTCAGTCACTTTATTCATTACCAGCTCAAAAGTAAGTTGTGGCTAGTCATCCTGGGAATCTTTAGACCTGAGGATTTGTCTTTAAAATTGCACATTAGTGGCCGGGCGCAGTGCTCATGCCTGTAATGTAGCACTTTGGGAGGCCAAGGCGGGCGGATCACGAGGCCAGGAGATCGAGACCAGCCTGGGCAACATGGTGAAACCCCGTCTCTATTAAAAATACAAAAATTAGCCAGGCGTGGTGGCAGGCGCCTGTAGTCCCAGCTACTTGGGAGGCTGAGGCAGGAGAATCGCTTGAACCTGGGAGGCAGAGGTTGCAGTGAGCTGAGATCATGCCACTGCACTCTAGCCTGGGCAACAGAGTGAGACTCTGTCTCAAAAAAAAATGCATATTAGCTATTTTAAATAATGATTATATCACAAGTAATTTAATAGTAGTGACAAAATATATATATTTTCAACCAGCAGATATTAACTGAATACCTACTATTTACCAGGTACTATTTCAGGCACTGGGGCTACCTCAATGAAGAAAATACAAATCCCTGCCCTCATGGAGCTTGCATTCTAATGAAGGTTGGCTGACAAACCAATAAGCAAAATATATGGTGTGTCAGATGACAAGGGCTGTGGAGAAAAATTAAGTAGGGAAGGGGGGATAGGAAGCAGTGGAGTGGAGTGATCACAGTTTAAAACAGGAAAGTCAGAACATGCCTTCAGAGAAGGTAACATTTGAGTGACAACCAGAAGGATGTGAGATAGTGAGCCATGGCAATATGGAGAAAGACCTTCCTAAGCAGAGGTGCAAAGGCCTTGAGGCTGGAGCAGAGTGACCGAGGAGAACTGTAGGAGTTAGGTCAAAGAGGCAATGAGGGACAGGAGGGTGTGGGGCCTTGTAGACCAAATCAGTTCTTTGGCTTTTACTGAGACGGCAAGGTGCTACCGGATTTTAAGCAGGAAAAGTGGCGTGCTCTTGCCTGGGTTTTAGCAGGGCTACTCTGGGCTTTGTGTGAAGAGTTGTTATGGAGAAGGCAGATGCAGAAGCTAGGAAACTTGTTAGGAGGCTATGGCAGTCATCCAGGCAAGAGATGATGATTTGGACCGGGAGGGTAGCAGTCGAAATCGGGAGAGGTGGTCAGATTCTGGATCTATTTTAAAGGTAGAGACAACCATATTTGGTGACATACCAGATGTGGGGTGTGTGTGAGAAGAATCAATAATGACTCTCGGCTGGGCACGGTGGCCCACGCCTGTAATCCCAGCACTTTGGGAGGCCAAGGCGGGTGGATGGTTTGAGGTCAGGAGTTCAAGACCACCCTGGCCAACATGGTGAAACCCTGTCTCTACTAAAAATACAAAAAATTAGCTGGGTCTTGTGGCGGGCGCTGAGGCAGGAGAATCGCTTGACCCGGGAAGCAGAGGTTGCAGTGAGCAGACATCACGCCATTGCACTCCAGCCTGGGCAACAGAGCAAGGCTCCGTCTCAAAATAAGAATAATAATGACTCTTGGGTTTTTGTCCTGGGCAACTGGAAGGATGGAGTTGCCACTAACAGAGATGGGGAAGAGAAGCAGGCTTAGTTCATTTTCTGTCATGATAAGTTTAAGATTCCTATTAGACATCCAAGTGATGTAAAATCAGCAGTTGGACATATATGGGCCTGAAATGTAGGGAGCTGATTGAAGATATAAATTTTGAAGACATCAGTATATGGTTAATTTTAAGGTCATAGTTTTTGTTTTTTGTTTTGTTTTGTTTTTTGAGATGGAGTTTCGCTCTTGTTGCCCAGGCTGGAGTGCAATGGCGCAATCTTGGCTTACCTCAACCTCCGCCTCCCGGGTTCAAGCAATTCTCCTGCCTCAGCCTCCTGAGTAGCTGGGATTACAAGCATGTGCCACCACGCCCGGCTAATTTTATATTTTTAGTAGAAACGGGGTTTCTCTGTGTTGGCCAGGCTGGTCTCGAACTCCTGACCTCAGGTGATCCGCCTGCCTCAGCCTCCCAAAGTGCTGGGATTACAGGCGTGAACCACCGGGCCTGGCCAAGGTCATGGTTTTTAAAGACTAAAAGATGACTGGAAACCAAGTCTCTTAACTCTGTCTCTCACATTAAATAATCATGCCTAGCAGAGTTTATCACAGGAACAAAGATGGTTCAATATTTGAAGTCTAGGAGTACAATTCACCACAGTAACAACAGAGAATAACCACATGATGATGTCAGTAAATGCAGAAAGGGTATTTAAGACATCCATTTATTAACTGAAAAAAATTTTAGCCAACCAGTGGCAGAAGATAAACCCCTTAATCTAATAGAGCATTTGTCAAAACTCTCAACAAATAACATACCTAACAGTG